>NC_000020.11:29917404-29978428 GCF_000001405.40 Homo sapiens
AGCATTCTCTGAAACTTCTTTGTGATGTGTGAATTCAACTCACAGAGTTGAACCTTTCTTTTGTAGAGCAGTTTTGAAACTCTTTTTGTAGAATATGTAAGTATATATTTGGAGCGCTTTGAGGCTTATGGTGGAAAAGGAAATATCTTCACATAAAAACTAGACAGAAGCATTCTCAGAAACTTCTTTGTGATAAGTGCATTCAACTCACAGAGTCGAACCTTTCTGTTGATAGAGCAGTTTTAAATCACTCTTTTCTAGAATCTGAAAGTGGATATTTGGAGTGCTCTGAGGCCTATGGTGGAAAAGGAAATACCTACACATAAAAACTAGGCGGAAGCATTCTCAGAAATATCTTTGTGATGAGTGCATTCAACTCACAGAGTTGAACACTTATGTTGATAGAGGAGTTTTAAAACACTCTTTTTCAGGAATCTGAAAGTGGATATTTGGAGCGCTTTGAGGCCTGTGGTGGAAAAGGAAACACCTTCACAAAAAAAATAGAGCAGAAGCATTCTCAGGAACTTCTTTGTGATGTGTGCATTCAACTCACAGAGTTGAACCTTTTTTTTTGATAGAGCAGTTTTGAAACACTATTTTTGTACAATCTGCAGTTGGATATTTGGAGCGCTTTGATGCCTATGGTGGAAAACGAAATATCCGCACATAAAATCTAGACAGCAGCATTCTCAGAAACTTGTTTGTGTTGTGTGCATTCAACTCACAGAGTTGAACCTTTCCTTTGATTGAGCAGTTTTGAAAAAGTCTTTTTGTAGAATCCACAAGTGGATATTTGGAGCAGTTTGAGGCCCATGGTGTAAAAGGAAATATCTTCACATAAAAACTAGACAGAAGCATTCTCAGAAAATTCTTTGTGTTGTGTGCATTCAACTCACAGAGTTGAACTTTTCCTATGATTGAGCAGTTTTGAAACACTCTTTCTGAAGAATCTGCAAGTGGATATTTGGAGCGCTTTGAGGCCTATGGTGGAAAAGGAAACACCTTCACAAAATAACTAGAGCAGAAGCATTCTCAGAAACGTCTTTGTGATATGTGCATTCAACTCACAGAGTTGAACCTTTCTTTGATAGAGCAGTTTTGAAACACTCTTTTTGTAGAATCTGCAGTTGGATATTTGGAGCGCTTTGATGCCTATGGTGGAAAAGGAAATATCCGCACATAAAAACTAGACAGCAGCATTCTCAGAAACTTGTTTGTGTTGTGTGCATTCAACTCACAGAGTTGAACCTTTCCTTTGATTGAGCAGTTTTGAAAAAGTCTTTTTGCAGAATCTGCAAGTGGATATTTGGAGCGGTTTGAGGCCTATGGTGTAAAAGGAAATATCTTCACATAAAATCTAGACGGAAAGCATTCTCTGAAACTTCTTTGTGATGTGTGAATTCAACTCACAGAGTTGAACCTTTCTTTTGTAGAGCAGTTTTGAAACTCTTTTTGTAGAATGTGTAAGTAGATATTTGGAGCGCTTTGAGGCTTATGGTGGAAAAGGAAATATCTTCACATAAAAACTAGACAGAAGCATTCTCAGAAACTTCTTTGTGATAAGTGCATTCAACTCACAGAGTTGAGCCTTTCTTTTGATAGAGCAGTTTTAAAACACTCTTTTTCTAGAATCTGAAAGTGGATATTTGGAGTGCTTTGAGGCCTATGGTGGAAAAGGAAATATCTTCACATAGAAACTAGGCAGAAGCATTGTCAGTAACTAATTTGTGTTGTGTGCATTCAACTCTCAGAGTTGTATTTTTCCTTTGATTGAGCAGTTTTGAAACACTCTTTTTGTAGAATCTGCAAGTGGATATTTGGAGCGCTTTGAGGCCTATGGTGGAAAAGGAAACACCTTCACAAAAAAACTGGAGCAGAAGCATTCTCAGAAACTTCTTTGTGATGTGTGCATTCAACTCACAGAATTGAACCTTTCTTTGATAGAGCAGTTTTGAAACACTATTTTTGTAGAATCTGCAATTGGATATTTGGAGCGCTTTGATGCCTATGGTGGAAAAGGAAATATCCACACATAAAATCTAGACAGCAGCATTCTCAGAAACTTGTTTGTGTTGTGTGCATTCAACTCACAGAGTTGACCTTTCCTTTGATTGAGCAGTTTTGAAAAAATCTTTTTGCAGAATCTGCAAGTGGATATTTGGAGCGGTTTGAGGCCTATGGTGTAAAAGGAAATATCTTCACATAAAAACTAGACAGAAGCATTCTCTGAAACTTCTTTGTGATGTGTGAATTCAACTCACAGAGTTGAACCTTTCTTTTGTAGAGCAGTTTTGAAACTCTTTTTGTAGAATCTGTAAGTAGATATTTGGAGTGCTTTGAGGCTTATGGTGGAAAAGGAAATATCTTCACATAAAAACTAGACAGAAGCATTCTCAGAAACTTCTTTGTGATAAGTGCATTCAACTCACAGAGTCGAACCTTTCTGTTGATAGAGCAGTTTTAAATCTCTCTTTTTCTACAATCTGAATGTGGATATTTGGAGTGCTCTGAGGCATATGGTGGAAAAGGAAATACCTACACATAAAAACTAGGCGGAAGCATTCTCAGAAATATCTTTGTGATGAGTGCATTCACCTCACAGAGTTGAACATTTATGTTGATAGAGGAGTTTTAAAACACACTTTTTCGGGAATATGAAAGTGGATATTTGGAGCGCTTTGAGGCCTATGGTGGAAAAGGAAACACCTTCACAAAAAAAACTAGAGCAGAAGCATTCTCAGAAAGTTCTTTGTGATGTGTGCATTCAACTCACAGAGTTGAACCTTTTTTTTTGATAGAGCAGTTTTGAAACACTATTTTTGTACAATCTGCGGTTGGATATTTGGAGCGCTTTGATGCCTATGGTGGAAAACGAAATATCCGCACATAAAATCTAGACAGCAGCATTCTCAGAAACTTGTTTGTGTTGTGTGCATTCAACTCACAGAGTTGAACCTTTCCTTTGATTGAGCAGTTTTGAAAAAGTCTTTTTGTAGAATCCACAAGTGGATATTTGGAGCAGTTTGAGGCCTATGGTGTAACAGGAAATATCTTCACATAAAAACTAGACGGAAGCATTCTCAGAAACTTCTTTGTGTTGTGTGCATTCAACTCACAGAGTTGAACTTTTCCTATGATTGAGCAGTTTTGAAACACTCTTTCTGAAGAATCTGCAAGTGGATATTTGGAGCGCTTTGAGGCCTATGGTGGAAAAGGAAACACCTTCACAAAAAAACTAGAGCAGAAGCATTCTCAGAAACGTCTTTGTGATGTGTGCATTCAACTCACAGAGTTGAACCTTTCTTTGATAGAGCAGTTTTGAAAAACTCTTTTTGTAGAATCTGCAGTTGGATATTTGGAGCGCTTTGATGCCTATGGTGGAAAAGGAAATATCCGCCCATAAAAACTAGACAGCAGCATTCTCAGAAAGTTGTTTGTGTTGTGTGCATTCAACTCACAGAGTTGAACCTTTCCTTTGATTGAGCAGTTTTGAAAAAGTCTTTTTGTAGAATCTGCAAGTGGATATTTGGAGCAGTTTGAGGCCTATGGTGTAAAAGGAAATATCTTCACATGAAAACTAGACAGAAGCATTCTCAGAAACTTCTTTGTGATGAGTTCATTCAATTCACATAGTTGAACATTTCTTTTGATAGAGTAGTTTTGAAACACTCTTTCTGTAGAATCTACAAGTGGATATTTGGAGCACATTGAAGCCTATGATGGAAAAGGAAATATCTTCACATACAAACTAGACAGAAGCATTCTCAGAAACTTCTTTGTGATAAGTGCATTCAACTCACAGAGTCGAACCTTTCTGTTGATAGAGCAGTTTTAAATCACTCTTTTTCTAGAATCTGAAAGTGGATATTTGGAGAGCTTTGAGGCCTATGGTGGAAAAGGAAATACCTACGCATAAAAACTATGCGGAAGCATTCTCAGAAATATCTTTGTGATGAGTGCATTCAACTCACAGAGTTGAACATTTATGTTGATAGAGGAGTTTTAAAACACTCTTTTTCAGGAATCTGAAAGTGGATATTTGGAGCGCTTTGAGGCCTATGGTGGAAAAGGAAACACCTTCACAAAAAAAACTAGAGCAGAATCATTCTCAGGAACTTCTTTGTGATGTGTGCATTCAACTCACAGAGTTGAACCTTTTTATTTGATAGAGCAGTTTTGAAACACTATTTTTGTACAATCTGCGGTTGGATATTTGGAGCGCTTTGATGCCTATGGTGGAAAACGAAATATCCGCACATAAAATCTAGACAGCAGCATTCTCAGAAACTTGTTAGTGTTGTGTGCATTCAGCTCACAGAGTTGAACCTTTCCTTTGATTGAGCAGTTTTGAAATAGTCTTTTTGTAGAATCCACAAGTGGATATTTGGAACAGTTTGAGGCCTATGGTGTAAAAGGAAATATCTTCACATAAAAACTATACAGAAGCATTCTCAGAAACTTCTTTGTGTTGTGTGCATTCAACTCACAGAGTTGAACTTTTCCTATGATTGAGCAGTTTTGAAACACTCTTTCTGAAGAATCTGCAAGTGGATATTTGGAGCGCTTTGAGACATATGGTGGAAAAAGAAACACCTTCACAAAAAAACTAGAGCAGAAGCATTCTCAGAAACGTCTTTGTGATGTGTGCATTCAACTCACAGAGTTGAACCTTTCTTTGATAGAGCAGTTTTGAAACACTCTTTTTGTAGGATCTGCAGTTGGATATTTGGAGCGCTTTGATGCCTATGGTGGAAAAGGAAATATCCGCACATAAAAACTAGACAGCAGCATTCTCAGAAACTTGTTTGTGTTGTGTGCATTCAACTCACAGAGTTGACCTTTCCTTTGATTGAGCAGTTTTGAAAAAGTCTTTTTGCAGAATCTGCAAGTGGATATTTGGAGCGGTTTGTGTCCTATGGTGTAAAAGGAAATCTCTTCACATAAAAACTAGACAGAAGCATTCTCTGAAACTTCTTTGTGATGTGTGAATTCAACTCACAGAGTTGAACCTTTCTTTTGTAGAGCAGTTTTGAAACTCTTTTTGTAGAATGTGTAAGTAGATATTTGGAGCGCTTTGAGGCTTATGGTGGAAAAGGAAATATCTTCACATAAAAACTAGACAGAAGCATTCTCAGAAACTTCTTTGTGATAAGTGCATTCAACTCACAGAGTCGAAACTTTCTGTTGATAGAGCAGTTTTAAATCCCTCTTTTTCTAGAATCTGAAAGTGGATATTTGGAGTGCTCTGAGGCCTATGGTGGAAAAGGAAATACCTACCCATAAAAACTAGGCGGAAGCATTCTCAGAAATATCTTTGTGATGAGTGCATTCAACTCACAGAGTTGAACATTTATGTTGATAGAGGAGTTTTAAAACACTCTTTTTCGGGAATCTGAAAGTGGATATTTGGAGCGCTTTGAGGCCTATGGTGGAAAAGGAAACACCTTCACAAAAAAAACTAGAGCAGAAGCATTCTCAGAAAGTTCTTTCTGATGTGTGCATTCAACTCACAGAGTTGAATCTTTTTTTTTGATAGAGCAGTTTTGAAACACTATTTTTGTACAATCTGCAGTTGGATATTTGGAGCGCTTTGATGCCTATGGTGGAAAACGAAATATCCGCACATAAAATCTAGACAGCAACATTCTCAGAAACTTGTTTGTGTTGTGTGCATTCAACTCACAGAGTTGAACCTTTCCTTTGATTGAGCAGTTTTGAAAAAGTCTTTTTGTAGAATCCACAAGTGGATATTTGGAGCAGTTTGAGGCCTATGGTGTAAAAGGAAATATCTTCACATAAAAACTAGACAGAAGCATTCTCTGAAACTTCTTTGTGATGTGTGAATTCATCTCACAGAGTTGAACCTTTCTTTTGTAGAGCAGTTTTGAAACTCTTTTTGTAGAATCTGTAAGTAGATATTTGGAGCGCTTTGAGGCTTATGGTAGAAAAGGAAATATCTTCACATAAAAACTAGACAGAAGCATTCTCAGAAACTTCTTTGTGATAAGTGCATTCAACTCACAGAGTCGAACCTTTCTGTTGATAGAGCAGTTTTAAATCACTCTTTTTCTAGAATCTGAAAGTGGATATTTGGAGTGCTTTGAGGCCTATGGTGGAAAAGGAAATACCTACACATAAAAACTAGGCGGAAGCATTCTCAGAAATATCTTTGTGATGAGTGCATTCAACTCACAGAGTTGAACATTTATGTTGATAGAGGAGTTTTAAAACACTCTTTTTCGGGAATCTGAAAGTGGATATTTGGAGCGCTTTGAGGCCTATGGTGGAAAAGGAAACACCTTCACAAAAAAAACTAGAGCAGAAGCATTCTCAGAAACTTCTTTGTGATGTGTGCATTCAACTCACAGAGTTGAACCTTTTTTTTTGATAGAGCAGTTTTGAAACACTATTTTTGTACAATCTGCGGTTGGATATTTGGAGCGCTTTGATGCCTATGGTGGAAAACGAAATATCCGGACATAAAATCTAGACAGCAGCATTCTCAGAAACTTGTTTGTATTGTGTGCATTCAACTCACAGAGTTGAACCTTTCCTTTGATTGAGTAGCTTTGAAAAAGTCTTTTTGTAGAATCCACAAGTGGATATTTGGAGCAGCTTGAGGCCTATGGTGTAAAAGGAAATATCTTCACATAAAAACTAGACAGAAGCATTCTCAGAAACTTCTTTGTGTTGTGTGCATTCAACTCACAGAGTTGAACTTTTCCTATGATTGAGCAGTTTTGAAACACTCTTTCTGAAGAATCTGCAAGTGGATATTTGGAGCGCTTTGAGGCCTATGGTGGAAAAGGAAACACCTTCACAAAAAAACTAGAGCAGAAGCATTCTCAGAAATGTCTTTGTGATGTGTGCATTCAACTCACAGAGTTGAACCTTTCTTTGATAGAGCAGTTTTGAAACACTCTTTTTGTAGAATCTGCAGTTGGATATTTGGAGCGCTTTGATGCCTATGGTGGAAAAGGAAATATCCGCACATAAAAACTAGACAGCAGCATTCTCAGAAACTTGTTTGTGTTGTGTACATTCAACTCACAGAGTTGAGCTTTCCTTTGATTGAGCAGTTTTGAAAATGTCTTTTTGCAGAATCTGCAAGTGGATATTTGGAGCGGTTTGAGGCCTATGGTGTAAAAGGAAATATCTTCACATAAAAACTAGACAGAAGCATTCTCTGAAACTTCTTTGTGATGTGTGAATTCAACTCACAGAGTTGAACCTTTCTTTTGTAGAGCAGTTTTGAAACTCTTTTTGTAGAATCTGTAAGTAGATATTTGGAGCGCTTTGAGGCTTATGTTGGAAAAGGAAATATCTTCACATAAAAACTAGACAGAAGCATTCTCAGAAACTTCTTAGTGATAAGTGCATTCAACTCACAGAGTCGAACCTTTCTGTTGATAGAGCAGTTTTAAATCACTCTTTTTCTAGAATCTGAAAGTGGATATTTGGAGTGCTTTGAGGCCTATGGTGGAAAAGGAAATACCTACACATAAAAACTAGGCGGAAGCATTCTCAGAAATATCTTTGTGATGAGTGCATTCAACTCACAGAGTTGAACACTTATGTTGATAGAGGAGTTTTAAAACACTCTTTTTCAGGAATCTGAAAGTGGATATTTGGAGCGCTTTGAGGCCTATGGTGGAAAAGGAAACACCTTCACAAAAAAAACTAGAGCAGAAGCATTCTCAGAAAGTTCTTTGTGATGTGTGCATTCAACTCACAGAGTTGAACCTTTTTTTTTGATAGAGCAGTTTTGAAACACTATTTTTGTACAATCTGCGGTTGGATATTTGGAGCGCTTTGATGCCTATGGTGGAAAACGAAATATCCGCACATAAAATCTAGACAGCAGCATTCTCAGAAACTTGTTTGTGTTGTGTGCATTCAACTCACAGAGTTGAACCTTTCCTTTGATTGAGAAGTTTTGAAAAAGTCTTTTTGTAGAATCCACAAGTGGATATTTGGAGCAGTTTGAGGCCTATGGTGTAAAAGGAAATATCTTCACATAAAAACTAGACAGAAGCATTCTCAGAAACTTCTTTGTGTTGTGTGCATTCAACTCACAGAGTTGAACTTTTCCTATGATTGAGCAGTTTTGAAACACTCTTTCTGAAGAATCTGCAAGTGGATATTTGGAGCGCTTTGAGGCCTATGGTGGAAAAGGAAACACCTTCACAAAAAAACTAGAGCAGAGGCATTCTCAGAAACTTCTTTGTGATTTGTGCATTCAACTCACAGAGTTGAACCTTTCTTTGATAGAGCAGTTTTGAAACACTCTTTTTGTAGAATCTGCAATTGGATATTTGGAGCTCTTTGATGCCTATGGTGGGAAAGGAAATATCCGCACATATAAACTAGACAGCAGCATTCTCAGAAACTTGTTTGTGTTGTGTGCATTCAACTCACAGAGTTGACCTTTCCTTTGATTGAGCAGTTTTGAAAAAGTCTTTTTGCAGAATCTGCAAGTGGATATTTGGAGCGGTTTGAGGCCTATGGTGTAAAAGGAAATATCTTCACATAAAAACTAGACAGAACCATTCTCTGAAACTTCTTTGTGATGTGTGAATTCAACTCGCAGAGTTGAACCTTTCTTTTGTAGAGCAGTTTTGAAACTCTTTTTGTAGAATGTGTAAGTAGATATTTGGAGCGCTTTGAGGCTTATGGTGGAAAAGGAAATATCTTCACATAAAAACTAGACAGAAGCATTCTCAGAAACTTCTTTGTGATAAGTGCATTCAACCCACAGAGTCGAACGTTTCTGTTGATAGAGCAGTTTTAAATCACTCTTTTTCTAGAATCTGAAAGTGGATATTTGGAGTGCTTTGAGGCTCATGGAGGAAAAGGAAATACCTACACATAAAAACTAGGCGGAAGCATTCTCAGAAATATCTTTGTGATGAGTGCATTCAACTCACAGAGTTGAACATTTATGTTGATAGAGGAGTTTTAAAACACTCTTTTTCAGGTATCTGAAAGTGGATATTTGGAGCGCTTTGAGGACTATGGTGGAAAAGGAAACACCTTCACAAAAAAAAACTAGAGCAGAAGCATTCTCAGGAACTTCTTTGTGATGTGTGCATTCAACTCACAGAGTTGAACCTTTTTTTTTGATAGAGCAGTTTTGAAACACTATTTTTGTACAATCTGCGGTTGGATATTTGGAGCGCTTTGATGCCTATGGTGGAAAACGAAATATCCGCACATAAAATCTAGACAGCAGCATTCTCAGAAACTTGTTTGTGTTGTGTGCATTCAACTCACAGAGTTGAACCTTTCCTTTGATTGAGCAGTTTTGAGAAAGTCTTTTTGTAGAATCCACAAGTGGATATTTGGAGCAGTTTGAGGCCTATGGTGTAAAAGGAAATATCTTCACATAAAAACTATACAGAAGCATTCTCAGAAACTTCTTTGTGATGTGTGAAATCAACTCACAGAGTTGAACCTTTCTTTCGTAGAGCAGTTTTGAAACACTCTTTTTGTAGAATCTGCAAGTAGATATTTGGAGCGCTTTGAGGCTTATGGTGGAAAAGGAAATATCTTCACATAAAAACTATACAGAAGTATTCTCAGAAACGTCTTTGTGATGTGTGCATTCAACACGCAGAGTTGAACCTTTCTTTGATAGAGCAGTTTTGAAACACTCTTTTTGTAGAATCTGCAGTTGGATATTTGGAGCGCTTTGATGCCTATGGTGGAAAAGGAAATATCCGCACATAAAAACTAGACAGCAGCATTCTCAGAAACTTGTTTGTGTTGTGTGCATTCAACTCACAGAGTTGAAACTTTCCTTTGATTGAGCAGTTTTGAAAAAGTCCTTTTGCAGCATCTGCAAGCGGATATTTGGAGCGTTTGAAGCCTATGGTGTAAAAGGAAATATCTTCACATAACAACTAGACAGAAGCATTCTCTGAAACTTCTTTGTGATGTGTGCATTCAAGTCACAGAGTTGAACCTTTCTTTTGTAGAGCAGTTTTGAAACTCTCTTTTTGTAGAATCTGCAAGTAGATATATGGAGCGCTTTGAGGCTTACGGTGGAAAAGGAAATATCTTCACATAAAAACTAGACAGAAGCATTCTCAGAAACTTCTTTGTGATAAGTGCATTCAACTCACAGAGTTGAACATTTCTGTTGATAGAGCAGTTTTAAAACACTCTTTTTCTAGAATCTGAAAGTGGATATTTGGAGTGCTTTGAGGCCTCTGGTGGAAAAGGAAATATCTTCACATAAAAACTAGACGGAAGCATTCTCAGAAGTATCTTTGTGATGAGTGCATTCAACTCACAGAGTTGAAAACTTAAATTGATAGAGGAGTTTTAAAACACTCTTTTTCAGGAATCTGAAAGTGGATATTTGGAGCGCTTTGAGGCCTATGGTGGAAAAGGAAACACCTTCACAAAAAAAACTAGAGCAGAAGCATTCTCAGAAACTTCTTTGTGATGTGTGCATTCAACTCACAGAGTTGAACCTTTTTTTTTGATAGAGCAGTTTTGCAACACTATTTTTGTACAATGTGCGGTTGGATGTTTGGAGCTCTTTGATGCCTATGGTGGAAAACGAAATATCCGCACATAAAATCTAGACAGCAGCATTCTCAGAAACTTGTTTGTGTTGTGTGCATTCAACTCACAGAATTGAAACTTTTCTTTGATTGAGCAGTTTTAAAAAAGTCTTTTTGTAGAATCTGCAAGTGGATATTTGGAGCAGTTTGAGGCCTATGGTGTAAAAGGAAATATCTTCACATAAAAACTAGACAGAAGCATTCTCAGAATCTTCTTTGTGTTGTGTGCATTCAACTCACAGAGTTGAACTTTTCCTATGATTGAGCAGTTTTGAAACACTCTTTCTGAAGAATCTGCAAGTGGATATTTGGAGCGCTTTGAGGCCTATGGTGGAAAAGGAAACACCTTCACAAAAAAACTAGAGCAGAAGCATTCTCAGAAACGTCTTTGTGATGTGTGCATTCAACTCACAGAGTTGAACCTTTCTTTGATAGAGCAGTTTTCACACACTCTTTTTGTAGAATCTGCAGTTGGATATTTGGAGCGCTTTGATGCCTATGGTGGAAAAGGAAATATCCGCACATAAAAACTAGACAGCAGCATTCTCAGAAACTTGTTTGTGTTGTGTGCATTCAACTCACAGAGTTGAGCTTTCCTTTGATTGAGCAGTTTTGAAAAAGTCTTTTTGCAGAATCTGCAAGTGGATATTTGGAGCGGTTTGAGGCCTATGGTGTAAAAGGAAATATCTTCACATAAAAACTAGACAGAAGCATTCTCTGAAACTTCTTTGTGATGTGTGAATTCAACTCACAGAGTTGAACCTTTCTTTTGTAGAGCGGTTTTGAAACTCTTTTTGTAGAATGTGTAAGTAGATATTTGGAGCGCTTTGAGGCTTATGGTGGAAAAGGAAATATCTTCACATAAAAACTAGACAGAAGCATTCTCAGAAACTTCTTTGTGATAAGTGCATTCAACTCACAGAGTCGAACCTTTCTGTTGATAGAGCAGTTTTAAATCACTCTTTTTCTAGAATCTGAAAGTGGATATTTGGAGTGCTTTGAGGCCTATGGTGGAAAAGGAAATACCTACACATAAAAACTAGGCGGAAGCATTCTCAGAAATATCTTTGTGATGAGTGCATTCAACTCACAGAGTTGAACATTTATGTTGATAGAGGAGTTTTAAAACACTCTTTTTCAGGAATCTGCAAGTGGATATTTGGAGCGGTTTGAGTCCTATGGTGTAAAAGGAAATATCTTCACGTAAAAACTAGACAGAAGCATTCTCAGAATCTTGTTTGTGTTGTGTGCATTCAGCTCACAGAGTTGAACCTTTTTTTTTGATAGAGCAGTTTTGAAACACTATTTTTGTACAATCTGCGGTTGGATATTTCGAGCGCTTTGATGCCTATGGTGGAAAACGAAATATCCGCACATAAAATCTAGACAGCAGCATTCTCAGAATCTTGTTTGTGTTGTGTGCATTCAGCTCACAGAGTTGAACATTTCCTTTGACTGAGCAGTTTTGAAATAGTCTTTTTGTAGAATCCACAAGTGGATATTTGGAGCAGTTTGAGGCCTATGGTGTAAAAGGAAATATCTTCACATAAAAACTAGACAGAAGCATTCTCAGAAACTTCTTTGTGTTGTGTGCATTCAACTCACAGAGTTGAACTTTTCCTATGATTGAGCAGTTTTGAAACACTCTTTCTGAAGAATCTGCAAGTGGATATTTGGAGCGCTTTGAGGCCTATGGTGGAAAAGGAAACACCTTCACAAAAAAACTAGAGCAGAAACATTCTCAGAAAATTCTTTGTGATGTGTGCATTCAACTCACAGAGTTGAACCTTTCTTTGATAGAGCAGTTTTGAAACACTCTTTTTGTAGAATCTGCAATTGGATATTTGGAGCTCTTTGATGCCTATGGTGGAAAAGGAAATATCCGCACATAAAAACTAGACAGCAGCATTGTCAGAAACTTGTTTGTGTTGTGTGCATTCAACTCACAGAGTTGACCTTTCCTTTGATTGAGCAGTTTTGAAAAAGTCTTTTTGCAGAATCTGCAAGTGGATATTTGGAGCGGTTTGAGGCCTATGGTGTAAAAGGAAATATCTTCACATAAAAACTAGACAGAAGCATTCTCTGAAACTTCTTTCTGATGTGTGAATTCAACTCACGGAGTTGAACCTTTCTTTTGTAGAGCAGTTTTGAAACTCTTTTTGTAGAATCTGTAAGTAGATATTTGGAGCGCTTTGAGGCTTATGGTGGAAAAGGAAATATCTTCACATAAAAACTAGACAGAAGCATTCTCAGAAACTTCTTTGTGATAAGTGCATTTAACTCACAGAGTCGATCCTTTCTGTTGATAGAGCAGTTTTAAATCACTCTTTTTCTAGAATCTGAAAGTGGATATTTGGAGTGCTTTGAGGCCTATGGTGGAAAAGGAAATACCTACACATAAAAACTAGGCGTAAGCATTCTCAGAAATATCTTTGTGATGAGTGCACTCAACTCACGGAGTTGATCATTTCTTTGATAGAGGAGTTTTAAAACACTCTTTTTCTGGAATCTCAAAGTGGATATTTGGAGCGCTTTAAGGCCTATGGTGGAAAAGGAAACACTTTCACAAAAAAACTAGAGCAGAAGCATTCTCAGAAACTTCTTTGTGATGTGTGCATTCAACTCACAGAGTTGAACCTTTTTTTTTGATAGAGCAGTTTTGCAACACTATTTTTGTACAATGTGCGGTTGGATGTTTGGAGCTCTTTGATGCCTATGGTGGAAAACGAAATATCCGCACATAAAATCTAGACAGCAGCATTCTCAGAAACTTGTTTGTGTTGTGTGCATTCAACTCACAGAGTTGAACCTTTCCTTTGATTGAGCAGTTTTGAAAAAGTCTTTTTGTAGAATCCACAAGTGGATATTTGGAGCAGTTTGAGGCCTATGGTGTAAAAGGAAATATCTTCACATAAAAACTAGACAGAAGCATTCTCAGAAACTTCTTTGTGTTGTGTGCATTCAACTCACAGAGTTGAACTTTTCCTATGATTGAGCAGTTTTGAAACACTCTTTCTGAAGAATCTGCAAGTGGATATTTGGAGCGCATTGAGGCCTATGGTGGAAAAGGAAACACCTTCACAAAAAAACTAGAGCAGAAGCATTCTCAGATACGTCTTTGTGATGTGTGCATTCAACTTACAGAGTTGAACCTTTCTTTGATAGAGCAGTTTTGAAACACTCTTTTTGTAGAATCTGCAGTTGGATATTTGGAGCGCTTTGATGCCTATGGTGGAAAAGGAAATATCCGCACATAAAAACTAGACAGCAGCATTCTCAGAAACTTGTTTGTGTTGTGTGCATTCAACTCACAGAGTTGACCTTTCCTTTGATTGAGCAGTTTTGAAAAAGTCTTTTTGCAGAATCTGCAAGTGGATATTTGGAGCGGTTTGAGGCCTATGGTGTAAAAGGAAATATCTTCACATAAAAACTAGACAGAAGCATTCTCTGAAACTTCTTTGTGATGTGTGAATTCAACTCACAGAGTTGAACCTTTCTTTTGTAGAGCAGGTTTGAAACTCTTTTTGTAGAATCTGTAAGTAGATATTTGGAGCGCTTTGAGGCTTATGGAGGAAAAGGAAATATCTTCACATAAAAACTAGACAGAAGCATTCTCAGAAACTTCTTTGTGATAAGTGCATTCAACTCACAGAGTCGAACCTTTCTGTTGATAGAGCAGTTTTAAATCACTCTTTTTCTAGAATCTGAAAGTGGATATTTGGAGTGCTTTGAGGCCTATGGTGGAAAAGGAAATACCTACACATAAAAAATAGGAGGAAGCATTCTCAGAAATATCTTTGTGGTGAGTGCATTCAACTCACAGAGTTGAACAATTATGTTGATAGAGGAGTTTTAAAACACTCTTTTTCAGGAATCTGAAAGTGGATATTTGGAGCGCTTTGAGGCCTATGGTGGAAAAGGAAACACCATCACAAAAAAAAACTAGAGCAGAAGCATTCTCAGAAACTTCTTTGTGATGTGTGCATTCAACTCACAGAGTTGAACCTTTTTTTTTGATAGAGCAGTTTTGAAACACAATTTTGGTACAATCTGCGGTTGGACATTTGGAGCGCTTTGATGCCTATGGTGGAAAACGAAATATCCGCACATAAAATCTAGACAGCAGCATTCTCAGAAACTTGTTTGTGTTGTGTGCATTCAACTCACAGAGTTGAAACTTTCCTTTGATTGAGCAGTTTTGAAAAAGTCTTTTTGAAGAATCCACAAGTGGATATTTGGAGCAGTTTGAGGCCTATGGTGTAAAAGGAAATATCTTCACATAAAAACTAGACAGAAGCATTCTCAGAAACTTCTTTGTGTTGTGTGCATTCAACTCACAGAGTTGAACTTTTCCTATGATTGAGCAGTTTTGAAACACTCTTTCTGAAGAATCTGCAAGTGGATATTTGGAGCGCTTTGAGGCCTATGGTGGAAAAGGAAACATCTTCACAAAAAAAACTAGAGAAGAAGCATTCTCAGAAACGTCTTTGTGATGTGTGCATTCAACTCACAGAGTTGAAACTTTCTTTGATAGAGCAGTTTTGAAACACTCTTTTTGTAGAATCTGCAGTTGGATATTTGGAGCGCTTTGATGCCTATGGTGGAAAAGGAAATATCCGCACATAAAAACTAGACAGCAGCATTCTCAGAAACTTGTTTGTGTTGTGTGCATTCAACTCACAGAGTTGAACCTTTCCTTTGATTGAGCAGTTTTGAAAAAGTCTTTTTGCAGAATCTGCAAGTGGATATTTGGAGCGGTTTGAGGCCTATGGTGTAAAAGGAAATATCTTCACATAAAATCTAGACGGAAGCATTCTCTGAAACTTCTTTGTGATGTGTGAATTCAACTCACAGAGTTGAACCTTTCTTTTGTAGAGCAGTTTTGAAACTCTTTTTGTAGAATCTGTAAGTAGATATTTGGAGCGCTTTGAGGCTTATGGTGGAAAAGGAAATATCTTCACATAAAAACTAGACAGAAGCATTCTCAGAAACATCTTTCTGATAAGTGCATTCAACTCACAGAGTCGAACCTTTCTGTTGATAGAGCAGTTTTAAATCACTCTTTTTCTAGAATCTGAAAGTGGATATTTGGAGTGCTCTGAGGCCTATGGTGGAAAAGGAAATACCTACACATAAAAACTAGGCGGAAGCATTCTCAGAAATATCTTTGTGATGACTGCATTCAACTCACAGAGTTGAACATTTATGTTGATAGAGGAGTTTTAAAACACTCTTTTTCAGGAATCTGAAAGTGGATATTTGGAGCGCTTTGAGGCCTATGGTGGAAAAGGAAACACCTTCACAAAAAAAAACTAGAGCAGAAGCATTCTCAGGAACTTCTTTGTGATGTGTGCATTCAACTCACAGAGTTGAACCTTTTTTTTTGATAGAGCAGTTTTGAAACACTATTTTTGTACAATCTGCGGTTGGATATTTGGAGCGCTTTGATGCCTATGGTGGAAAACGAAATATCCGCACATAAAATCTAGACAGCAGCATTCTCAGAAACTTGTTTGTGTTGTGTGCATTCAACTCACAGAGTTGAACCTTTCCTTTGATTGAGCAGTTTTGAAAAAGTCTTTTTGTAGAATCCACAAGTGGATATTTGGAGCAGTTTGAGGCCTATGGTGTAAAAGGAAATATCTTCACATAAAAACTAGACAGAAGCATTCTCAGAAACTTCTTTGTGTTGTGTGCATTCAACTCACAGAGTTGAACTTTTCCTATGATTGAGCAGTTTTGAAACACTCTTTCTGAAGAATCTGCAAGTGGATATTTGGAGCGCTTTGAGGCCTATGGTGGAAAAGGAAACACCTTCACAAAAAAACTAGAGCAGAAGCATTCTCAGAAACGTCTTTGTGATGTGTGCATTCAACTCACAGAGTTGAACCTTTGTTTGATAGAGTAGTTTTGAAACACTCTTTTTGTAGAATCTGCAGTTGGATATTTGGAGCGCTTTGATGCCTATGGTGGAAAAGGAAATATCCGCACATAAAAACTAGACAGCAGCATTCTCAGAAACTTGTTTGTGTTGTGTGCATTCAACTCACAGAGTTGAGCTTTCCTTTGATTGAGCAGTTTTGAAAAAGTCTTTTTGCAGAATCTGCAAGTGGATATTTGGAGCGGTTTGAGGCCTATGGTGTAAAAGGAAATATCTTCACATAAAAACTAGAGAGAAGCATTCTCTGAAACTTCTTTGTGATGTGTGAATTCAACTCACAGAGTTGAACCTTTCTTTTGTAGAGCAGTTTTGAAACTCTTTTTGTAGAATCTGTAAGTAGATATTTGGAGTGCTTTGAGGCTTATGGAGGAAAAGGAAATATCTTCACATAAAAACTAGACAGAAGCATTCTCAGAAACTTCTTTGTGATAAGTTCATTCAACTCACAGAGTCGAACCTTTCTGTTGATAGAGCAGTTTTAAATCACTCTTTTTCTAGAATCTGAAAGTGGATATTTGGAGTGCTCTGAGGCCTATGGTGGAAAAGGAAATGCCTACACATAAAAACTAGGCAGAAGCATTCTCAGAAATATCTTTGTGATGAGTGCATTCAACTCACAGAGTTGAACATTTATGTTGATAGAGGAGTTTTAAAACACACTTTTTCAGGAATCTGAAAGTGGATATTTGGAGCGCTTTGAGGCCTATGGTGGAAAAGGAAACACCTTGACAAAAAAAACTAGAGCAGAAGCATTCTCAGAAACTTCTTTGTGATGTGTGCATTCAACTCACAGAGTTGAACCTTTTTTTTTGATAGAGCAGTTTTGCAACACTATTTTTGTACAATGTGCGGTTGGATGTTTGGAGCTCTTTGATGCCTATGGTGGAAAACGAAATATCCGCACATAAAATCTAGACAGCAGCATTCTCAGAAACTTGTTTGTGTTGTGTGCATTCAACTCACAGAGTTGAACCTTTCCTTTGATTGAGCAGTTTTGAAAAAGTCTTTTTGTAGAATCCACAAGTGGATATTTGGAGCAGTTTGAGGCCTATGGTGTAAAAGGAAATATCTTCATAAAAACTAGACAGAAAGCATTCTCAGAAACTTCTTTGTGTTGTGTGCATTCAACTCACAGAGTTGAACTTTTCCTATGATTGAGCAGTTTTGAAACACTCTTTCTGAAGAATCTGCAAGTGGATATTTGGAGCGCTTTGAGGCCTACGGTGGAAAAGGAAACACCTTCACAAAAAAACTAGAGCAGAAGCATTCTCAGAAACGTCTTTGTGATGTGTGCATTCAACTCACAGAGTTGAACCTTTCTTTGATAGAGCAGTTTTGAAACACTCTTTTTGTAGAATCTGCAGTTGGATATTTGGAGCGCTTTGATGCCTATGGTGCAAAAGGAAATATCCGCACATAAAAACTAGACAGCAGCATTCTCAGAAACTTGTTTGTGTTGTGTGCATTCAACTCACAGAGTTGAGCTTTCCTTTGATTGAGCAGTTTTGAAAAAGTCTTTTTGCAGAATCTGCAAGTGGATATTTGGAGCGGTTTGAGGCCTATGGTGTAAAAGGAAATATCTTCACATAAAATCTAGACAGAAGCATTCTCTGAAACTTCTTTGTGATGTGTGAATTCAACTCACAGAGTTGAACCTTTCTTTTGTAGAGCAGTTTTGAAACTCTTTTTGTAGAATCTGTAAGTAGATATTTGGAGTGCTTTGAGGCTTATGGTGGAAAAGGAAATATCTTCACATAAAAACTAGACAGAAGCATTCTCAGAAACTTCTTTGTGATAAGTGCATTCAACTCACAGAGTCGAACCTTTCTGTGGATAGAGCAGTTTTAAATCACTCTTTTTCTAGAATCTGAAAGTGGATATTTGGAGTGCTTTGAGGCCTATGGTGGAAAAGGAAATACCTACACATAAAAACTAGGCGTAAGCATTCTCAGAAATATCTTTGTGATGAGTGCATTCAACTCACAGAGTTGAACACTTATGTTGATAGAGGAGTTTTAAAACACTCTTTTTCAGGAATCTGAAAGTGGATATTTGGAGCGCTTTGAGGCCTGTGGTGGAAAAGGAAACACCTTCACAAAAAAAACTAGAGCAGAAGCATTCTCAGAAACTTCTTTGTGATGTGTGCATTCAACTCACAGAGTTGAACCTTTTTTTTTGACAGAGCAGTTTTGAAACAGTATTTTTGTACAATCTGCGGTTGGATATTTGGAGCGCTTTGATGCCTATGGTGGAAAACGAAATATCCGCACATAAAATCTAGACAGCAGCATTCTCAGAAACTTGTTTGTGTTGTGTGCATTCAGCTCACAGAGTTGAACCTTTCCTTTGATTGAGTAGTTTTGAAAAAGTCTTTTTGTAGAATCCACAAGTGGATATTTGGAGCAGTTTGAGGCCTATGGTGTAAAAGGAAATATCTTCACATAAAAACTAGACAGAAGCATTCTCTGAAACTTCTATGTGATAAGTGCATTCAACTCACAGAGTCGAACCTTTCTGTTGATAGAGCAGTTTTAAATCACTCTTTTTCTAGAATCTGAAAGTGGATATTTGGAGTGCTTTGAGGCTTATGGTGGAAAAGGAAATATCTTCACATAAAAACTAGACAGAAGCATTCTCAGCAAACTTCTTTGTGATAAGTGCATTCAACTCACAGAGTCGAACCTTTCTGTTGATAGAGCAGTTTTAAATCACTCTTTTTCTAGAATCTGAAAGTGGATATTTGGAGTGCTTTGAGGCCTATGGTGGAAAAGGAAATACCTACACATAAAAACTAGGCGGAAGCATTCTCAGAAATATCTTTGTGATGACTGCATTCAACTCACAGAGTTGAACACTTATGTTGATAGAGGAGTTTTAAAACACTCTTTTTCAGGAATCTGAAAGTGGATATTTGGAGTGCTTTGAGGCCTGTGGTGGAAAAGGAAACACCATCACAAAAATAACTAGAGCAGAAGCATTCTCAGGAACTTCTTTGTGATGTGTGCATTCAACTCACAGAGTTGAACCTTTTTTTTTGATAGAGCAGTTTTGAAACACTATTTTTGTACAATCTGCGGTTGGATATTTGGAGCGCTTTGATGCCTATGGTGGAAAACGAAATATCCGCACATAAAATCTAGACAGCAACATTCTCAGAAACTTGTTTGTGTTGTGTGCATTCAACTCACAGAGTTGAACCTTTCCTTTGATTGAGCAGTTTTGAAAAAGTCTTTTTGTAGAATCCACAAGTGGATATTTGGAGCAGTTTGAGGCCTATGGTGTAAAAGGAAATATCTTCACATAAAAACTAGACAGAAGCATTCTCAGAAACTTCTTTGTGTTGTGTGCATTCAACTCACAGAGTTGAACTTTTCCTATGATTGAGCAGTTTTGAAACACTCTTTCTGAAGAATCTGCAAGTGGATATTTGGAGCGCTTTGAGGCCTATGGTGGAAAAGGAAACACCTTCACAAAAAAACTAGAGCAGAAGCATTCTCAGAAACGTCTTTGTGATGTGTGCATTCAACTCACAGAGTTGAACCTTTCTTTGATAGAGCAGTTTTGAAACACTCTTTTTGTAGAATCTGCAGTTGGATATTTGGAGCGCTTTGATGCCTATGGTGGAAAAGGAAATATCCGCCCATAAAAACTAGACAGCAGCATTCTCAGAAACTTTTTTGTGTTGTGTGCATTCAACTCACAGAGTTGAGCTTTCCTTTGATTGAGCAGTTTTGAAAAAGTCTTTTTGCAGAATCTGCAAGTGGATATTTGGAGCGGTTTGAGGCCTATGGTGTAAAAGGAAATATCTTCACATAAAAACTAGACAGAAGCATTCTCTGAAACTTCTTTGTGATGTGTGAATTCAACTCACAGAGTTGAACCTTTCTTTTGTAGAGCAGTTTTGAAACTCTTTTTGTAGAATCTGTAAGTAGATATTTGGAGCGCTTTGAGGCTTATGGTGGAAAAGGAAATATCTTCACATAAAAACTAGACAGAAGCTTTCTCAGAAACTTCTTTGTGATAAGTGCATTCAACTCACAGAGTCGAACCTTTCTGTTGATAGAGCAGTTTTAAATCACTCTTTTTCTGGAATCTGAAAGTGGATATTTGGAGTGCTCTGAGGCCTATGGTGGAAAAGGAAATACCTACACATAAAAACTAGGCGGAAGCAT
Source organism: Homo sapiens (assembly GCF_000001405.40). Classification (NCBI taxonomy): domain Eukaryota; kingdom Metazoa; phylum Chordata; class Mammalia; order Primates; family Hominidae; genus Homo; species Homo sapiens. The sequence goes on from NC_000020.11 coordinate 29,938,089, forward strand.
TCTCAGAAGTATCTTTGTGATGAGTGCATTCAACTCACAGAGTTGAACACTTATGTTGATAGAGGAGTTTTAAAACACTCTTTTTCAGGAATCTGAAAGTGGATATTTGGAGCGCTTTGAGGCCTATGGTGGAAAAGGAAACACCTTCACAAAAAAAACTAGAGCAGAAGCATTCTCAGAAACTTCGTTGTGATGTGTGCATTCAACTCACAGAGTTGAAACTTTTTATTTGATAGAGCAGTTTTGAAACACTATTTTTGTACAATCTGCGGTTGGATATTTGGAGCGCTTTGATGCCTATGGTGGAAAACGAAATATCCGCACATAAAATCTAGACAGCAGCATTCTCAGAAACTTGTTTGTGTTGTGTGCATTCAGCTCACAGAGTTGAACCTTTCCTTTGACTGAGCAGTTTTGAAATAGTCTTTTTGTAGAATCCACAAGTGGATATTTGGAGCAGTTTGAGGCCTATGGTGTAAAAGGAAATATCTTCACATAAAAACTAGACAGAAGCATTCTCAGAAACTTCTTTGTGTTGTGTGCATTCAACTCACAGAGTTGAACTTTTCCTATGATTGAGCAGTTTTGAAACACTCTTTCTGAAGAATCTGCAAGTGGATATTTGGAGCGCTTTGAGGCCTATGGTGGAAAAGGAAACACCTTCACAAAAAAACTAGAGCAGAAGCATTCTCAGAAACGTCTTTGTGATGTGTGCATTCAACTCACAGAGTTGAACCTTTCTTTGATAGAGCAGTTTTGAAACACTCTTTTTGTAGAATCTGCAGTTGGATATTTGGAGCGCTTTGATGCCTATGGTGGAAAAGGAAATATCCGCACATAAAAACTAGACAGCAGCATTCTCAGAAACTTGTTTGTGTTGTGTGCATTCAACTCACAGAGTTGACCTTTCCTTTGATTGAGCAGTTTTGAAAAAGTCTTTTTGCAGAATCTGCAAGTGGATATTTGGAGCGGTTTGAGGCCTATGGTGTAAAAGGAAATATCTTCACATAAAATCTAGACAGAAGCATTCTCTGAAACTTCTTTGTGATGTGTGAATTCAACTCACAGAGTTGAACCTTTCTTTTGTAGAGCAGTTTTGAAACTCTTTTTGTAGAATCTGTAAGTAGATATTTGGAGCGCTTTGAGGCTTATGGTGGAAAAGGAAATATCTTCACATAAAAACTAGACAGAAGCATTCTCAGAAACTTCTTTGTGATAAGTGCATTCAACTCACAGAGTCGAACCTTTCTGTTGATAGAGCAGTTTTAAATCACTCTTTTTCTAGAATCTGAAAGTGGATATTTGGAGTGCTTTGAGGCCTATGGTGGAAAAGGAAATACCTACACATAAAAACTAGGCGGAAGCATTCTCAGAAACTTCTTTGTGATAAGTGCATTCAACTCACAGAGTCGAACCTTTCTGTTGATAGAGCAGTTTTAAATCACTCTTTTTCTAGAATCTGAAAGTGGATATTTGGAGTGCTTTGAGGCCTCTGGTGGAAAAGGAAACACCTTCACAAAAAAAACTAGACCAGAAGCATTCTCAGAAACTTCTTTGTGATGTGTGCATTCAACTCACAGTGTTGAAACTTTTTTTTTGATAGAGCAGTTTTGAAACACTATTTTTGTACAATCTGCGGTTGGATATTTGGAGCGCTTTGATGCCTATGGTGGAAAACGAAATATCCGCACATGAAATCTAGACAGCAGCATTCTCAGAAACTTGTTTGTGTTGTGTGCATTCAACTCACAGAGTTGAACCTTTCCTTTGATTGAGCAGTTTTGAAAAAGTCTTTTTGTAGAATCCACAAGTGGATATTTGGAGCAGTTTGAGGCCTATGGTGTAAAAGGAAATATCTTCACATAAAAACTAGACAGAAGCATTTTCAGAAACTTCTTTGTGTTGTGTGCATTCAACTCACAGAGTTGAACTTTTCCTATGATTGAGCAGTTTTGAAACACTCTTTCTGAAGAATCTGCAAGTGGATATTTGTAGCGCTTTGAGGCCTGTGGTGGAAAAAGAAACACCTTCACAAAAAAACTAGAGCAGAAGCATTCTCAGAAACGTCTTTGTGATGTGTGCATTCAACTCACAGAGTTGAACCTTTCTTTGATAGAGCAGTTTTGAAACACTCTTTTTGTAGAATCTGCAGTTGGATATTTGGAGCGCTTTGATGCCTATGGTGGAAAAGGAAATATCCGCACATAAAAACTAGACAGCAGCATTCTCAGAAACTTGTTTGTGTTGTGTGCATTCAACTCACAGAGTTGACCTTTCCTTTGATTGAGCAGTTTTGAAAAAGTCTTTTTGCAGAATCTGCAAGTGGATATTTGGAGCGGTTTGAGGCCTATGGTGTAAAAGGAAATATCTTCACATAAAAACTAGACAGAAGCATTCTCTGAAACTTATTTGTGATGTGTGAATTCAACTCGCAGAGTTGAACCTTTCTTTTGTAGAGCAGTTTTGAAACTCTTTTTGTAGAATCTGTAAGTAGATATTTGGAGCGCTTTGAGGCTTATGGTGGAAAAGGAAATATCTTCACATAAAAACTAGACAGAAGCATTCTCAGAAACTTCTTCGTGATAAGTGCATTCAACTCACAGAGTCGAACCTTTCTGTTGATAGAGCAGTTTTAAATCACTCTTTTTCTAGAATCTGAAAGTGGATATTTGGAGTGCTTTGAGGCCTATGGTGGAAAAGGAAATACCTACACATAAAAACTAGGCGGAAGCATTCTCAGAAATATCTTTGTGATGAGTGCATTCAACTCACAGAGTTGAACATTTATGTTGATAGAGGACTTTTAAAAGACTCTTTTTCAGGAATCTGAAAGTGGATATTTGGAGCGCTTTGAGGCCTATGGTGGAAAAGGAAACACCTTCACAAAAAAAACTAGAGCAGAAGCATTCTCAGAAACTTCTTTGTGATGTGTGCATTCAACTCACAGAGTTGAACCTTTTTTTTTGATAGAGCAGTTTTGAAACACTATTTTTGTACAATCTGCGGTTGGATATTTGGAGGGCTTTGATGCCTATGGTGGAAAACGAAATATCCGCAGATAAAATCTAGACAGCAGCATTCTCAGAAACTTCTTTGTGATGAGTTCATTCAATTCACATAGTTGAACATTTCTTTTGATAGAGCAGTTTTGAAACACTCTTTCTGTAGAATCTACAAGTGGATATTTGGAGCACATTGAAGCCTATGATGGAAAAGGAAATATCTTCACATACAAACTAGACAGAAGCATTCTCAGAAACTTCTTTGTGTTGTGTGCATTCAACTCACAAAGTTGAACTTTTCCTATGATTGAGCAGTTTTGAAACACTCTTTCTGAAGAATCTGCAAGTGGATATTTGGACGTGCTTTGAGGTCTATGGTGGAAAAGCAAACACCTTCACAAAAAAAACTAGAGCAGAAGCATTCTCAGAAACGTCTTTGTGATGTGTGCATTCAACTCACAGAGTTGAATCTTTCTTTGATAGAGCAGTTTTGAAACACTCTTTTTGTAGAATCTGCAGTTGGATATTTGGAGCGCTTTGATGCCTATGGTGGAAAAGGAAATATCCGCCCATAAAAACTAGACAGCAGCATTCTCAGAAACTTGTTTGTGTTGTGTGCATTCAACTCACAGAGTTGAACCTTTCCTTTGATTGAGCAGTTTTGAAAAAGTCTTTTTGCAGAATCTGCAAGTGGATATTTGGAGCGGTTTGAGGCCTATGGTGTAAAAGGAAATATCTTCACATAAAATCTAGACGGAAGCATTCTCTGAAACTTCTTTGTGATGTGTGAATTCAACTCACAGAGTTGAACCTTTCTTTTGTAGAGCAGTTTTGAAACTCTTTTTGTAGAATCTGTAAGTAGATATTTGGAGTGCTTTGAGGCTTATGGTGGAAAAGGAAATATCTTCACATAAAAACTAGACAGAAGCATTCTCAGAAACTTCTTTGTGATAAGTGCATTCAACTCACAGAGTCGAACCTTTCTGTGGATAGAGCAGTTTTAAATCACTCTATTTCTAGAATCTGAAAGTGGATATTTGGAGTGCTTTGAGGCCTATGGTGGAAAAGGAAATACCTACACATAAAAACTAGGCGTAAGCATTCTCAGAAGTATCTTTGTGATGAGTGCATTCAACTCACAGAGTTGAACACTTATGTTGATAGAGGAGTTTTAAAACACTCTTTTTCAGGAATCTGAAAGTGGATATTTGGAGCGCTTTGAGGCCTATGGTGGAAAAGGAAACACCTTCACAAAAAAAACTAGAGCAGAAGCATTCTCAGAAACTTCTTGTATTGTGTGCATTCAACTCACAGAGTTGAACCTTTTTATTTGATAGAGCAGCTTTGAAACACTATTTTTGTACAATCTGCGTTTGGATATTTGGAGCGCTTTGATGCCTATGGTGGAAAACAAAATATCCGCACATAAAATCTGGACAGCAGCATTCTCAGAAACTTGTTTGTGTTGTGTGCATTCAACTCACAGAGTTGAACCTTTCCTTTGATTGAGCAGTTTTGAAAAAGTCTTTTTGTAGAATCCACAAGTGGATATTTGGAGCAGTTTGAGGCCTATGGTGTAAAAGGAAATATCTTCACATAAAAACTAGACAGAAGCATTCTCAGAAACTTCTTTGTGTTGTGTGCATTCAACTCACAGAGTTGAACTTTTCCTATGATTGAGCAGTTTTGAAACACTCTTTCTGAAGAATCTGCAAGTGGATATTTGGAGCGCTTTGAGGCCTGTGGTGGAAAAAGAAACACCTTCACAAAAAAACTAGAGCAGAAGCATTCTCAGAAACTTCTTTGTGATGTGTGCATTCAACTCACAGAGTTGAACCTTTCTTTGATAGAGCAGTTTTGAAACACTCTTTTTGTAGAATCTGCAATTGGATATTTGGAGCTCTTTGATGCCTATGGTGGAAAAGGAAATATCCGCACATAAAAACTAGACAGCAGCATTCTCAGAAACTTGTTTGTGTTGTGTGCATTCATCTCACAGAGTTGAAACTTTCCTTTGATTGAGCAGTTTTGAAAAAGTCCTTTTGCAGAATCTGCAAGTGGATATTTGGAGGCTTTGAGGCCTATGGTGTAAAAGGAAATATCTTCACATAGAAACTAGACAGAAGCATTCTCTGAAACTTCTTTGTGATGTGTGCATTCAACTCACAGAGTTGAACCTTTCTTTTGTAGAGCAGTTTTGAAACACTTTTTTTGTAGAATCTGCAATTGGATATTTGGAGCTCTTTGATGCCTATGGTGGGAAAGGAAATATCCGCACATAAAAAGTAGATAGCAGCATTCTCAGAAACTTGTTTGTGTTGTGTGCATTCAACTCACAGAGTTGAACCTTTCCTTTGATTGAGCAGTTTTGAAAAAGTCTTTTTGTAGAATCTACAAGTGGATATTTGAAGCACATTGAAGCCTATGATGGAAAAGGAAATATCTTCACATACAAACTAGACAGAAGCATTCTCAGAAACTTCTTTGTGATAAGTGCATTCAACTCACAGAGATAAACCTTTCTGTTGATAGAGCAGTTTTAAAACACTCTTTTTCTGGAATCGGAAAGTGGATATTTGGAGTGCTTTGAGGCCTATAGTGGAAAAGGAAACACCTTCACAAAATAACTAGAGCAGAAGCATTCTCAGAAACTTCTTTGTGATTTGTGCATTCAACTCACAGAGTTGAACCTTTCTTTGATAGAGCAGTTTTGAAACACTCTTTTTGTAGAATCTGCAATTGGATATTTGGAGCTCTTTGATGCCTATGGTGGGAAAGGAAATATCCACACATATAAACTAGACAGCAGCATTCTCCGAAACTTGTTTGTGTTGTGTGCATTCAACTCACAGAGTTGAACCTTTCTTTCGTAGAGCAGTTTTGAAACACTCTTTTTGTAGAATCTGCAAGTAGATATTTGGAGCGCTTTGAGGCTTATGGTGCAAAAGGAAATATCTTCACATACAAACTAGACAGAAGCATTCTCAGAAACTTCTTTGTGATGAGTGCATTCAACTCACAGAGTTGGACCTTTCTGTTGATAGAGCAGTTTTAAAACACTCTGTTTCTGGAATCCGAAAGTGGATATTTGGAGTGCTTTGAGGCCTATGTTGGAAAAGGAAATATCTTCACATAAAAACTAGACAGAAGCATTCTCAGAAACTTCTTTGTGCTAGGTGCATTCAACTCACATAGTTGAACCTTTCTATTGATAGAGCAGTTTTGAAACACTCTTTTTGTAGTATCTGCCAGTGATTATTTGGAGTGCTTTGAGGCCTACGGTGGAAATGGAAATATCTTCAAATAAAAACTAGGCAGAAGCATTGTCAGTAACTAATTTGTGTTGTGTGCATTCAACTCTCAGAGTTGTATTTTTCCTTTGATTGAGCAGTTTTGAAACACTCTTTTTGTAGAATCTGCAAGTGGATATTTGGAGCGCTTTGAGGCCTATGGTGGAAAAGGAAACACCTTCACAAAAAAACTGGAGCAGAAACATTCTCAGAAACGTCTTTGTGATGTGTGCATTCAACTCACAGAGTTGAACCTTTCTTTGATAGAGCAGTTTTGAAACACTCTTTTTGTAGAATCTGCAGTTGGATATTTGGAGCGCTTTGATGCCTATGGAGGAAAAGGAAATATCCGCACATAAAAACTAGACAGCAGCATTCTCAGAAACTTGTTTGTGATGTGTGCATTCAACTCACAGAGTTGACGTTTCCTTTGATTGAGCAGTTTTGAAAAAGTCTTTTTGCAGAATCTGCAAGTGGATATTTGGAGCGGTTTGAGGCCTATGGTGTAAAAGGAAATATCTTCACATAAAAACTAGAGAGAAGTATTCTCAGAAAGTTCTTTGCGATGTGTGAATTCAACTCACAGAGTTGAACCTTTCTTTCGTAGAGCAGTTTTGAAACACTCTTTTTGTAGAATCTGCAAGTAGATATTTGGAGCGCTTTGAGGCTTATAGTGGAAAAGGAAATATCTTCACATAAAAACTAGACAGAAGCATTCTCAGAAACTTCTTTGTGATAAGTGCATTCAACTCACAGAGTCGAACCTTTCTGTTGATAGAGCAGTTTTAAATCACTCTTTTTCTAGAATCTGAAAGTGGATATTTGGAGTGCTTTGAGGCCTATGGTGGAAAAGGAAATACCTACACATAAAAACTAGGCGTAAGCATTCTCAGAAATATCTTTGTGATGAGTGCATTCAACTCACAGAGTTGAACATTTATGTTGATAGAGGAGTTTTAAAACACTCTTTTTCAGGAATCTGAAAGTGGATATTTGGAGCGCTTTGAGGCCTATGGTGGAAAAGGAAACACCTTCACAAAAAAAACTAGAGCAGAAGCATTCTCAGAAAGTTCTTTGTGTTGTGTGCATTCAATTCACAGAGTTGAACCTTTTTTTTTGATAGAGCAGTTTTGAAACACTATTTTTGTACAATCTGCGGTTGGATATTTGGAGCGCTTTGATGCCTATGGTGGAAAACGAAATATCCGCACATAAAATCTAGACAGCAGCATTCTCAGAAACTTGTTTGTGTTGTGTGCATTCAACTCACAGAGTTGAACCTTTCCTTTGATTGAGCAGTTTTGAAATAGTCTTTTTGTAGAATCCACAAGTGGATATTTGGAGCAGTTTGAGGCCTATGGTGTAAAAGGAAATATCTTCACATAAAAACTAGACAGAAGCATTCTCAGAAACTTCTTTGTGTTGTGTGCATTCAACTCACAGAGTTGAACTTTTCCTATGATTGAGCAGTTTTGAAACACTCTTTCTGAAGAATCTGCAAGTGGATATTTGGAGCGCTTTGAGGCCTACGGTGGAAAAGGAAACACCTTCACAAAAAAACTAGAGCAGAAGCATTCTCAGAAACGTCTTTGTGATGTGTGCATTCAACTCACAGAGTTGAACCTCTCTTTGATAGAGCAGTTTTGAAACACTCTTTTTGTAGAATCTGCAGTTGGAGATTTGGAGCGCTTTGATGCCTATGGTGGAAAAGGAAATATCCGCACATAAAAACTAGACAGCAGCATTCTCAGAAACTTGTTTGTGTTGTGTGCATTCAACTCACAGAGTTGACCTTTCCTTTGATTGAGCAGTTTTGAAAAAGTCTTTTTGCAGAATCTGCAAGTAGATATTTGGAGCGGTTTGAGGCCTATGGTGTAAAAGGAAATATCTTCACATAAAAACTAGACAGAAGCATTCTCTGAAACTTCTTTGTGATGTGTGAATTCAACTCACAGGGTTGAACCTTTCTTTTGTAGAGCAGTTTTGAAACTCTTTTTGTAGAATCTGTAAGTAGATATTTGGAGCGCTTTGAGGCTTATGGTGGAAAAGGAAATATCTTCACATGAAAACTAGACAGAAGCATTCTCAGAAACTTCTTTGTGATAAGTGCATTCTACTCACAGAGTCGAACCTTTCTGTTGATAGAGCAGTTTTAAATCACTCTTTTTCTAGAATCTGAAAGTGGAAATTTGGAGTGCTTTGAGGCCTATGGTGGAAAAGGAAATACCTACACATAAAAACTAGGCGTAAGCATTCTCAGAAATATCTTTGTGATGAGTGCATTCAACTCACAGAGTTGAACAATTATGTTGATAGAGGAGTTTTAAAACACTCTTTTTCAGAAATCTGAAAGTGGATATTTGGAGCGCTTTGAGGCCTATGGTGGAAAGGGAAACACCTTCACAAAAAAAACTAGAGCAGAAGCATTCTCAGAAACTTCTTTGTGATGTGTGCATTCAACTCACAGAGTTGAACCTTTTTTTTTGATAGAGCAGTTTTGAAACACTATTTTTGTACAATCTGCGGTTGGATATTTGGAGCGCTTTGATGCCTATGGTGGAAAACGAAATATCCGCACATAAAATCTAGACGAGCAGCATTCTCAGAAACTTGTTTGTGTTGTGTGCATTCAACTCACAGAGTTGAACCTTTCCTTTGATTGAGCAGTTTTGAAAAAGTCTTTTTGTAGAATCCACAAGTGGATATTTGGAGCAGTTTGAGGCCTATGGTGTAAAAGGAAATATCTTCACAAAAAAACTAGAGCAGAAGCATTCTCAGAAAATTCTTTGTGTTGTGTGCATTCAACTCACAGAGTTGAACTTTTCCTATGATTGAGCAGTTTTGAAACACTCTTTCTGAAGAATCTGCAAGTGGATATTTGGAGCGCTTTGAGGCCTATGGTGGAAAAGGAAACACCTTCACAAAATAACTAGAGCAGAAGCATTCTCAGAAACGTCTTTGTGATGTGTGCATTCAACTCACAGAGTTGAACCTTTCTTTGATAGAGCAGTTTTGAAACACTCTTTTTGTAGAATCTGCAGTTGGATATTTGGAGCGCTTTGATGCCTATGGTGGAAAAGGAAATATCCGCACATAAAAACTAGACAGCAGCATTCTCAGAAACTTGTTTGTGTTGTGTGCATTCAACTCACAGAGTTGACCTTTCCTTTGATTGAGCAGTTTTGAAAAAGTCTTTTTGCAGAATCTGCAAGTGGATATTTGGAGCGGTTTGAGGCCTATGGTGTAAAAGGAAATATCTTCACATAAAAACTAGACAGAAGCATTCTCTGAAACTTCTTTGTGATGTGTGAATTCAACTCACAGAGTTGAACCTTTCTTTTGTAGAGCAGTTTTGAAACTCTTTTTGTAGAATGTGTAAGTAGATATTTGGAGCGCTTTGAGGCTTATGGTGGAAAAGGAAATATCTTCACATAAAAACTAGACAGAAGCATTCTCAGAAACTTCTTTGTGATAAGTGCATTCAACTCACAGAGTCGAACCTTTCTGTTGAGAGAGCAGTTTTAAATCACTCTTTTTCTAGAATCTGAAAGTGGATATTTGGAGTGCTCTGAGGCCTATGGTGGAAAAGGAAATACCTACACATAAAAACTAGGCGGAAGCATTCTCAGAAATATCTTTGTGATGAGTGCATTCAACTCACAGAGTTGAACATTTATGTTGATAGAGGAGTTTTAAAACACTCTTTTTCCGGAATCTGAAAGTGGATATTTGGAGGGCTTTGAGGCCTATGGTGGAAAAGGAAACACCTTCACAAAAAAAAACTAGAGCAGAAGCATTCTCAGAAACTTCGTTGTGATGTGTGCATTCAACTCACAGAGTTGAACCTTTTTATTTGATAGAGCAGTTTTGAAACACTATTTTTGTACAATCTGCGGTTGGATATTTGGAGCGCTTTGATGCCTATGGTGGAAAACGAAATATCCGCACATAAAATCTAGACAGCAGCATTCTCAGAAACTTGTTTGTGTTGTGTGCATTCAGCTCACAGAGTTGAACCTTTCCTTTGATTGAGCAGTTTTGAAATAGTCTTTTTGTAGAATCCACAAGTGGATATTTGGAGCAGTTTGAGGCCTATGGTGTAAAAGGAAATATCTTCACATAAAAACTAGACAGAAGCATTCTCAGAAACTTCTTTGTGGTGTGTGCATTCAACTCACAGAGTTGAACTTTTCCTATGATTGAGCAGTTTTGAAACACTCTTTCTGAAGAATCTGCAAGTGGATATTTGGAGCGCTTTGAGGCCTATGGTGGAAAAGGAAACACCTTCACAAAAAAACTAGAGCAGAAGCATTCTCAGAAACGTCTTTGTGATGTGTGCATTCAACTCACAGAGTTGAACCTTTCTTTGATAGAGCAGTTTTGAAACACTCTTTTTGTAGAATCTGCAGTTGGATATTTGGAGCGCTTTGATGCATATGGTGGAAAAGGAAATATCCGCCCATAAAAACTAGACAGCAGCATTCTCAGAAACTTGTTTGTGTTGTGTGCATTTAACTCACAGAGTTGAGCTTTCCTTTGATTGAGCAGTTTTGAAAATGTCTTTTTGCAGAATCTGCAAGTGGATATTTGGAGCAGTTTGAGGCCTATGGTGTAAAAGGAAATATCTTCACATAAAAACTAGACAGAAGCATTCTCTGAAACTTCTTTGTGATGTGTGAATTCAACTCACAGAGTTGAACCTTTCTTTTGTAGAGCAGTTTTGAAACTCTTTGTGCAGAATCTGTAAGTAGATATTTGGAGCGCTTTGAGGCTTATGGTGGAAAAGGAAATATCTTCACATAAAAACTAGACAGAAGCATTCTCAGAAACTTCTTTGTTATAAGTGAATTCAACTCACAGAGTCGAACCTTTCTGTTGATAGAGCAGTTTTAAATCACTCTTTTTCTAGAATCTGAAAGTGGATATTTGGAGTGCTTTGAGGCCTATGGTGGAAAAGGAAATACCTACACATAAATACTAGGCAGAAGCATTCTCAGAAATATCTTTGTGATGAGTGCATTCAACTCACAGAGTCGAACACTTATGTTGATAGAGGAGTTTTAAAACACTCTTTTTCAGGAATCTGAAAGTGGATATTTGGAGCGCTTTGAGGCCTACTGTGGAAAAGGAAACACCTTCACAAAAAAAACTAGAGCAGAAGCATTCTCAGAAACTTCTTTGTGATGTGTGCATTCAACTCACAGAGTTGAACCTTTTTTTTTCATAGAGCAGTTTTGAAACACTATTTTTGTACAATCTGCGGTTGGATATTTGTAGCGCTTTGATGCCTATGGTGGAAAACGAAATATCCGCACATAAAATCTAGACAGCAGCATTCTCAGAAACTTGTTTTTGTTGTGTGCATTCAACTCAGATAGTTGAACCTTTCCTTTGATTGAGCAGTTTTGAAAAAGTCTTTTTGTAGAATCCACAAGTGGATATTTGGAGCAGTTTGAGGCCTATGGTGTAAAAGGAAATATCTTCACATAAAAACTAGACAGAAGCATTCTCAGAAACTTCTTTGTGTTGTGTGCATTCAACTCACAGAGTTGAACTTTTCCTATGATTGAGCAGTTTTGAAACACTCTTTCTGAAGAATCTGCAAGTGGATATTTGGAGCGCTTTGAGGCCTATGGTGGAAAAGGAAACACCTTCACAAAAAAACTAGAGCAGAAGCATTCTCAGAAACGTCTTTGTGATGTGTGCATTCAACTCACAGAGTTGAACCTTTCTTTGATAGAGCAGTTTTGAAACACTCTTTTTGTAGAATCTGCAGTTGGATATTTGGAGCGCTTTCATGCCTATGGTGGAAAAGGAAATATCCGCACATAAAAACTAGACAGCAGCATTCTCAGAAACTTGTTTGTGTTGTGTGCATTCAACTCACAGTGTTGAGCTTTCCTTTGATTGAGCAGTTTTGAAAATGTCTTTTTGCAGAATCTGCAAGTGGATATTTGGAGCGGTTTGAGGCCTATGGTGTAAAAGGAAATATCTTCACATAAAAACCAGACAGAAGGATTCTCTGAAACTTGTTTGTGATGTGTGAATTCAACTCGCAGAGTTGAACCTTTCTTTTGTAGAGCAGTTTTGAAACTCTTTTTGTAGAATCTGTACGTAGATATTTGGAGCGCTTTGAGGCTTATGGTGGAAAAGGAAATATCTTCACATAAAAACTAGACAGAAGCATTCTCAGAAACTTCTTTGTGATAAGTGCATTCAACTCACAGAGTCGAACCTTTCTGTTGATAGAACAGTTTTAAATCACTCTTTTTCTAGAATCTGAAAGTGGATATTTGGAGTGCTTTGAGGCCTATGGTGGAAAAGGAAATACCTACACATAAAAACTAGGCGGAAGCATTCTCAGAAATATCTTTGTGATGAGTGCATTCAACTCAAAGAGTTGAACATTTATGTTGATAGAGGAGTTTTAAAACACTCTTTTTCCGGAATCTGCAAGTGGATATTTGTAGCGCTTTGAGGCCTATGGTGGAAAAGGAAACACCTTCACAAAAAAAACTAGAGCAGAAGCATTCTCAGGAACTTCTTTGTGATGTGTGCATTCAACTCACAGAGTTGAAACTTTTTTTTTGATAGAGCAGTTTTGAAACACTATTTTTGTACAATCTGCGGTTGGATATTTGGAGCGCTTTGATGCCTATGGTGGAAAACGAAATATCCGCACATAAAATCTAGACAGCAGCATTCTCAGAAACTTGTTTGTGTTATGTGCATTCAACTCACAGAGTTGAACCTTACCTTTGATTGAGCAGTTTTGAAAAAGTCTTTTTGTAGAATCCACAAGTGGATATTTGGAGCAGTTTGAGGCCTATGGTGTAAAAGGAAATATCTTCACATAAAAACTAGGCAGAAGCATTCTCAGAAACTTCTTTGTGTTGTGTGCATTCAACTCACAGAGTTGAACTTTTCCTATGATTGAGCAGTTTTGAAACACTCTTTCTGAAGAATCTGCAAGTGGATATTTGGAGCGCTTTGAGGCCTATGGTGGAAAAGGAAACACCTTCACAAAAAAACTAGAGCAGAAGCATTCTCAGAAACGTCTTTGTGATGTGTGCATTCAACTCACAGAGTTGAACCTTTCTTTGATAGAGCAGTTTTGAAACACTCTTTTTGTAGAATCTGCAGTTGGATATTTGGAGCGCTTTGATGCCTATGGTGGAAAAGGAAATATCCGCACATAAAAACTAGACAGCAGCATTCTCAGAAACTTGTTTGTGTTGTGTACATTCAACTCACAGAGTTGACCTTTCCTTTGATTGAGCAGTTTTGAAAAAGTCTTTTTGCAGAATCTGCAAGTGGATATTTGGAGCGGTTTGAGGCCTATGGTGTAAAAGGAAATATCTTCACATAAAAACTAGACAGAAGCATTCTCTGAAACTTCTTTGTGATGTGTGAATTCAACTCACAGAGTTGAACCTTTCTTTTGTAGAGCAGTTTTGAAACTCTTTTTGTAGAATCTGTAAGTAGATATTTGGAGCGCTTTGAGGCTTATGGTGGAAAAGGAAATATCTTCACATAAAAACTAGACAGAAGCATTCTCAGAAACTTCTTTGTGATAAGTGCATTCAACTCACAGAGTCAAACCTTTCTGTTGATAGAGCAGTTTTAAATCACTCTTTTTCTAGAATCTGAAAGTGGATATTTGGTGTGCTTTGAGGCCTATGGTGGAAAGGGAAATACCTACACATAAAAACTATGCGGAAGCATTCTCAGAAATATCTTTGTGATGAGTGCATTCAACTCACAGAGTTGAACATTTATGTTGATAGAGGAGTTTTAAAACACTCTTTTTCAGGAATCTGCAAGTGGATATTTGGAGCGGTTTGAGGCCTATGGTGTAAAAGGAAATATCTTCACGTAAAAACTAGACAGAAGCATTCTCTGAAACTTCTTTGTGATGTGTGAATTCAACTCGCAGAGTTGAACCTTTCTTTTGTAGAGCAGTTTTGAAACTCTTTTTGTAGAATCTGTAAGTAGATATTTGGAGCGCTTTGAGTCTTATGGTGGAAAAGGAAATATCTTCACATAAAATCTAGACAGAAGCATTCTCAGAAACTTCTTTCTGATAAGTGCATTCAACTCACAGAGTCGAACCTTTCTGTTGATAGAGCAGTTTTAAATCACTCTTTTTCTAGAATCTGAAAGTGGATATTTGGAGTGCTTTGAGGCCTATGGTGGAAAAGGAAATACCTACCCATAAAAACTAGGCGGAAGCATTCTCAGAAATATCTTTGTGATGAGTGCATTCAACTCACAGAGTTGAACATTTATGTTGATAGAGGAGTTTTAAAACACTCTTTTTCAGGAATCTGAAAGTGGATATTTGGAGCGCTTTGAGGCCTATGGTGGAAAAGGAAACACCTTCAGAAAAAAAAACTAGAGCAGAAGCATTCTCAGGAACTTCTTTGTGATGTGTGCATTCAACTCACAGAGTTGAACCTTTTTTTTTTGATAGAGCAGTTTTGAAACACTATCTTTGTACAATCTGCGGTTGGATATTTGGAGCGCTTTGATGCCTATGGTGGAAAACGAAATATCCGCACATAAAATCTAGACAGCAGCATTCTCAGAAACTTGTTTGTGTTGTGTGCATTCAGCTCCCAGAGTTGAACCTTTCCTTTGATTGAGCAGTTTGAAAAAGTCTTTTTGTAGAATCCACAAGTGGATATTTGGAGCAGTTTGAGGCCTATGTTGTAAAAGGAAATATCTTCACATAAAAACTAGACAGAAGCATTCTCAGAAACTTCTTTGTGTTGTGTGCATTCAACTCACAGAGTTGAACTTTTCCTATGATTGAGCAGTTTTGAAACACTCTTTCTGAAGAATCTGCAAGTGGATATTTGTAGCGCTTTGAGGCCTATGGTGGAAAAGGAAACACCTTCACAAAAAAACTAGAGCAGAAGCATTCTCAGAAACGTCTTTGTGATGTGTGCATTCAACTCACAGAGTTGAACCTCTCTTTGATAGAGCAGTTTTGAAACACTCTTTTTGTAGAATCTGCAGTTGGAGATTTGGAGCGCTTTGATGCCTATGGTGGAAAAGGAAATATCCGCACATAAAAACTAGACAGCAGCATTCTCAGAAACTTGTTTGTGTTGTGTGCATTCAACTCACAGAGTTGACCTTTCCTTTGATTGAGCAGTTTTGAAAAAGTCTTTTTGCAGAATCTGCAAGTGGATATTTGGAGCGGTTTGAGGCCTATGGTGTAAAAGGAAATATCTTCACATAAAAACTAGACAGAAGCATTCTCTGAAACTTCTTTGTGATGTGTGAATTCAACTCACAGAGTTGAACCTTTCTTTTGTAGAGCAGTTTTGAAACTCTTTTTGTAGAATCTGTAAGTAGATATTTGGAGCGCTTTGAGGCTTATGGTGGAAAAGGAAATATCTTCACATAAAAACTTGACAGAAGTATTCTCAGAAACTTCTTTGTGATAAGTGCATTCAACTCACAGAGTCGAACCTTTCTGTTGATAGAGCAGTTTTAAATCACTCTTTTTCTAGAATCTGAAAGTGGATATTTGGAGTGCTTTGAGGCCTATGGTGGAAAAGGAAATACCTACACATAAAAACTAGGCGGAAGCATTCTCAGAAATATCTTTGTGATGAGTGCATTCACCTCACAGAGTTGAACATTTATGTTGATAGAGGAGTTTTAAAACACACTTTTTCGGGAATATGAAAGTGGATATTTGGAGCGCTTTGAGGCCTATGGTGGAAAAGGAAACACCTTCACAAAAAAAACTAGAGCAGAAGCATTCTCAGAAAGTTCTTTGTGATGTGTGCATTCAACTCACAGAGTTGAACCTTTTTTTTTGATAGAGCAGTTTTGAAACACTATTTTTGTACAATCTGCGGTTGGATATTTGGAGCGCTTTGATGCCTATGGTGGAAAACGAAATATCCGCACATAAAATCTAGACAGCAGCATTCTCAGAAACTTGTTTGTGTTGTGTGCATTCAACTCACAGAGTTGAACCTTTCCTTTGATTGAGCAGTTTTGAAAAAGTCTTTTTGTAGAATCCACAAGTGGATATTTGGAGCAGTTTGAGGCCTATGGTGTAAAAGGAAATATCTTCACATAAAAACTAGACAGAAGCATTCTCCGAAACTTCTTTGTGTTGTGTGCATTCAACTCACAGAGTTGAACTTTTCCTATGATTGAGCAGTTTTGAAACACTCTTTCTGAAGAATCTGCAAGTGGATATTTGGAGCGCTTTGAGGCCTATGGTGGAAAAGGAAACACCGTCACAAATAAAACTAGAGCAGAAGCATTCTCAGAAACGTCTTTTTGATGTGTGCATTCAACTCACAGAATTGAACCTTTCTTTGATAGAGCAGTTTTGAAACACTCTTTTTGTAGAATCTGCAGTTGGATATTTGGAGCGCTTTGATGCCTATGTTGGAAAAGGAAATATCCGCACATAAAAACTAGACAGCAGCATTCTCAGAAACTTGTTTGTGTTGTGTGCATTCATCTCACAGAGTTGAAACTTTCCTTTGATTGAGCAGTTTTGAAAAAGTCCTTTTGCAGAATCTGCAAGTGGATATTTGGAGGCTTTGAGGCCTATGGTGTAAAAGGAAATATCTTCACATAGAAACTAGACAGAAGCATTCTCTGAAACTTCTTTGTGATGTGTGAATTCAACTCACAGAGTTGAACCTTTCTTTTGTAGAGCAGTTTTGAAACTCTTTTTGTAGAATCTGTAAGTAGATATTTGGAGCGCTTTGAGGCTTATGGTGGAAAAGGAAATATCTTCACATAAAAACTAGACAGAAGCATTCTCAGAAACTTCTTTGTGATAAGTGCATTCAACTCACAGAGTCGAACCTTTCTGTTGATAGAGCAGTTTTAAATCACTCTTTTTCTAGAATCTGAAAGTGGATAATTGGAGTGCTTTGAGGCTTATGGTGGAAAAGGAAATACCTACACATAAAAACTAGGCGTAAGCATTCTCAGAAATATCTTTGTGATGAGTGCATTGAACTCAAGGAGTTGAACATTTATGTTGATAGAGGAGTTTTAAAACACTCTTTTTCAGGAATCTGAAAGTGGATATTTGGAGCGCTTTGAGGCCTATGGTGGAAAAGGAAACACCTTCACAAAAAAAACTAGAGCAGAAGCATTCTCAGAAACTTCTTTGTGATGTGTGCATTCAACTCACAGAGTTGAACCTTTTTTTTTGATAGAGCAGTTTTGAAACACTATTTTTGTACAATGTGCGGTTGGATGTTTGGAGCGCTTTGATGCCTATGGTGGAAAACGAAATATCCGCACATAAAATCTAGACAGCAGCATTCTCAGAAACTTGTTTGTGTTGTGTGCATTCAGCTCCCAGAGTTGAACCTTTCCTTTGATTGAGCAGTTTGAAAAAGTCTTTTTGTAGAATCCACAAGTGGATATTTGGAGCAGTTTGAGGCCTATGTTGTAAAAGGAAATATCTTCACATAAAAACTAGACAGAAGCATTCTCAGAAACTTCTTTGTGATAAGTGCATTCAACTCACAGAGTTGAACCTTTCTGTTGATAGAGCAGTTTTAAAACACTCTTTTTCTGGATTGGGAAAGTGGATATTTGGAGCACTTTGAGGCCTATAGTGGAAAAGGAAACACCTTCACAAAATAACTAGAGCAGAAGCATTCTCAGAAAATTCTTTGTGATTTGTGCATTCAACTCAGAGTTAAACCTTTCTTTGATAGAGCAGTTTTGAAACACTCTTTTTGTAGAATCTGCAATTGGATATTTAGAGCTCTTTGATGCCTATGGTGGGAAAGGAAATATCCGCATATAAAAAGTAGACAGCAGCATTCTCAGAACCTTGTTTGTGTTGTGTGCATTCAACTCACAGAGTTGAACTTTTCCTTTGATTGAGCAGTTTTGAAAAAGTCTTTTTGTAGAATCTACAAGTGGATATTTGGAGCAGTTTGAGGTCTATGGTGTAAAAGGAAATATCTTCACATGAAAACTAGACAGAAGCATTCTCAGAAACTTCTTTGTGATGAGTTCATTCAATTCACATAGTTGAACATTTCTTTTGATAGAGCAGTTTTGAAACACTCTTTCTGTAGAATCTACAAGTGGATATTTGGAGCACATTGAAGCCTATGATGGAAAAGGAAATATCTTCACATACAAGCTAGACAGAAGTATTCTCAGAAACTTCTTTGTGATAAGTGCATTCAACTCACTGAGTCGAACCTTTCTGTTGATAGAGCAGTTTTAAATCACTCTTTTTCTAGAATCTGAAAGTGGATATTTGGAGTGCTTTGAGGCCTATGGTGGAAAAGGAAATACCTACACATAAAAACTAGGCGGAAGCATTCTCAGAAATATCTTTGTGATGAGTGCATTCAACTCACAGAGTTGAACACTTATGTTGATAGAGGAGTTTTAAAACACTCTTTTTCAGGAATCTGAAAGTGGATATTTGGAGCGCTTTGAGGCCTATGGTGGAAAAGGAAACACCTTCACAAAAAAACTAGAGCAGAAGCATTCTCAGAAACTTCGTTGTGATGTGTGCATTCAACTCACAGAGTTGAAACTTTTTATTTGATAGAGCAGTTTTGAAACACTATTTTTGTACAATCTGCGGTTGGATATTTGGAGCGCTTTGATGCCTATGGTGGAAAACGAAATATCCGCACATAAAATCTAGACAGCAGCATTCTCAGAAACTTGTTTGTGTTGTGTGCATTCAGCTCACAGAGTTGAACCTTTCCTTTGACTGAGCAGTTTTGAAATAGTCTTTTTGTAGAATCCACAAGTGGATATTTGGAGCAGTTTGAGGCCTATGGTGTAAAAGGAAATATCTTCACATAAAAACTAGACAGAAGCATTCTCAGAAACTGTTTTGTGTTGTGTGCATTCAACTCACAGAGTTGAACTTTTCCTATGATTGAGCAGTTTTGAAACACTCTTTCTGAAGAATCTGCAAGTGGATATTTGGAGCGCTTTGAGGCCTATGGTGGAAAAGGAAACACCTTCACAAAAAAACTAGAGCAGAAGCATTCTCAGAAACGTCTTTGTGATGTGTGCATTCAACTCACAGAGTTGAACCTTTCTTTGATAGAGCAGTTTTGAAACACTCTTTTTGTAGAATCTGCAGTTGGATATTTGGAGCGCTTTGATGCCTATGGTGGAAAAGGAAATATCCGCACATAAAAACTAGACAGCAGCATTCTCAGAAACTTGTTTGTGTTGTGTGCATTCAACTCACAGAGTTGAGCTTTCCTTTGATTGAGCAGTTTTGAAAAAGTCTTTTTGCAGAATCTGCAAGTGGATATTTGGAGCGGTTTGAGGCCTATGGTGTAAAAGGAAATATCTTCACATAAAAACTAGACAGAAGCATTCTCTGAAACTTCTTTGTGATGTGTGAATTCAACTCACAGAGTTGAACCTTTCTTTTGTAGAGCAGTTTTGAAACTCTTTTTGTAGAATCTGTAAGTAGATATTTGGAGCGCTTTGAGGCTTATGGTGGAAAAGGAAATATCTTCACATAAAAACTAGACAGAAGCATTCTCAGAAACTTCTTTGTGATAAGTGCATTCAACCCACAGAGTCGAACCTTTCTGTTGATAGAGCAGTTTTAAATCACTCTTTTTCTAGAATCTGAAAGTGGATATTTGGAGTGCTTTGAGGCCTATGGTGGAAAACGAAATACCTACACATAAAAACTAGGCGGAAGCATTCTCAGAAATATCTTTGTGATGAGTGCATTCAACTCACAGAGTTGAACATTTATGTTGATAGAGGAGTTTTAAAACACTCTTTTTCAGGAATCTGAAAGTGGATATTTGGAGCGCTTTGAGGCCTATGGTGGAAAAGGAAACACCTTCACAAAAAAAACTAGAGCAGAAGCATCCTCAGGAACTTCTTTGTGATGTGTGCATTCAACTCACAGAGTTGAACCTTTTTTTTGGATAGAGCAGTTTTGAAACACTATTTTTGTACAATCTGCGGTTGGATATTTGGAGCGCTTTGATGCCTATGGTGGAAAACGAAATATCCGCATATAAAATCTAGACAGCAGCATTCTCAGAAACTTGTTTGTGTTGTGTGCATTCAACTCACAGAGTTGAACCTTTCCTTTGATTGAGCAGTTTTGAAAAAGTCTTTTTGTAGAATCCACAAGTGGATATTTGGAGCGGTTTGAGGCCTATGGTGTAAAAGGAAATATCTTCACATAAAAACTAGACAGAAGTATTCTCAGAAACTTCTTTGTGTTGTGTGCATTCAACTCACAGAGTTGAACTTTTCCTATGATTGAGCAGTTTTGAAACACTCTTTCTGAAGAATCTGCAAGTGGATATTTGCAGCGCTTTGAGACCTATGGTGGAAAAGGAAACACCTTCACAATAAAACTAGAGCAGAAGCATTCTCAGAAACGTCTTTTTGATGTGTGCATTCAACTGACAGTGTTGAACCTTTCTTTGATAGAGCAGTTTTGAAACACTCTTTTTGTAGAATCTGCAGTTGGATATTTGGAGCGCTTTGATGCCTATGGTGGAAAAGGAAATATCCGCACATAAAAACTAGACAGCAGCATTCTCAGAAACTTGTTTGTGTTGTGTGCATTCAACTCACAGAGTTGACCTTTCCTTTGATTGAGCAGTTTTGAAAAAGTCTTTTTGCAGAATCTGCAAGTGGATATTTGGAGCGGTTGGAGGCCTATGGTGTAAAAGGAAATATCTTCACATAAAAACTAGACAGAAGCATTCTCTGAAACTTCTTTGTGATGTGTGAATTCAACTCACAGAGTTGAACCTTTCTTTTGTAGAGCAGTTTTGAAACTCTTTTTGTAGAATCTGTAAGTAGATATTTGGAGTGCTTTGAGGCTTATGGTGGAAAAGGAAATATCTTCACATAAAAACTAGACAGAAGCATTCTCAGAAACTTCTTTGTGATAAGTGCATTCAACTCACAGAGTCGAACCTTTCTGTTGATAGAGCAGTTTTAAATCACTCTTTTTCTAGAATATGAAAGTGGATATTTCGAATGCTTTGAGGCCTATGGTGGAAAAGGAAATACCTACACATAAAAACTAGGCGGAAGCATTCTCAGAAATATCTTTGTGATGAGTGCATTCAACTCACAGAGTTGAACATTTATGTTGATAGAGGAGTTTTAAAACACTCTTTTTCGGGAATCTGAAAGTGGATATTTGGAGCGCTTTGAGGCCTATGGTGGAAAAGGAAACACCTTCACAAAAAAAACTAGAGCAGAAGCATTCTCAGAAGATTCTTTGTGATGTGTGCATTCAACTCACAGAGTTGAAACTTTTTTTTTGATAGAGCAGTTTTGAAACACTATTTTTGTACAATCTGCGGTTGGATATTTGGAGCGCTTTGATGCCTATGGTGGAAAACGAAATATCCGCACATAAAATCTAGACAGCAGCATTCTCAGAAACTTGTTTGTGTTGTGTGCATTCAGCTCACAGAGTTGAACCTTTCCTTTGATTGAGCAGTTTTGAAGAAGACTTTTTGTAGAATCCACAAGTGGATATTTGGAGCTGTTTGAGGCCTATGGTGTAAAAGGAAATATCTTCACATAAAAACTAGACAGAAGCATTCTCAGAAACTTCTTGTATTGTGTGCATTCAACTCACAGAGTTGAACCTTTTTATTTGATAGAGCAGCTTTGAAACACTATTTTTGTACAATCTGCGTTTGGATATTTGGAGCGCTTTGATGCCTATGGTGGAAAACAAAATATCCGCACATAAAATCTGGACAGCAACATTCTCAGAAACTTGTTTGTGTTGTGTGCATTCAGCTCACAGAGTTGAACCTTTCCTTTGATTGAGCAGTTTTGAAAAAGTCTTTTTGTAGAATCCACAAGTGGATATTTGGAGCAGTTTGAGGCCTATGGTGTAAAAGGAAATATCTTCACATAAAAACTAGACAGAAGCATTCTCAGAAACTTCTTTGTGTTGTGTGCATTCAACTCACAGAGTTGAACTTTTCCTATGATTGAGCAGTTTTGAAACACTCTTTCTGAAGAATCTGCAAGTGGATATTTGGAGCGCTTTGAGGCCTATGGTGGAAAAGGAAACACCTTCACAAAAAAACTAGAGCAGAAGCATTCTCAGAAACGTCTTTGTGATGTGTGCATTCAACTCACAGAGTTGAACCTTTCTTTGATAGAGCAGTTTTGAAACACTCTTTTTGTAGAATCTGCAGTTGGATATTTGGAGCGCTTTGATGCCTATGGTGGAAAAGGAAATATCCGCACATAAAAAGTAGACAGCAGCATTCTCAGAAACTTGTTTGTGTTGTGTGCATTCAACTCACAGAGTTGACCTTTCCTTTGATTGAGCAGTTTTGAAAAAGTCTTTTTGCAGAATCTGCAAGTGGATATTTGGAGCGTTTTGAGGCCTATGGTGTAAAAGGAAATATCTTCACATAAAAACTAGACAGAAGCATTCTCTGAAACTTCTTTGTGATGTGTGAATTCAACTCACAGAGTTGAACCTTTCTTTTGTAGAGCAGTTTTGAAACTCTTTTTGTAGAATCTGTAAGTAGATATTTGGAGCGCTTTGAGGCTTATGGAGGAAAAGGAAATATCTTCACATAAAAACTAGACAGAAGCATTCTCAGAAACTTCTTTGTGATAAGTGCATTCAACTCACAGAGTCGAAACTTTCTGTTGATAGAGCAGTTTTAAATCTCTCTTTTTCTAGAATCTGAAAGTGGATATTTGGAGTGCTCTGAGGCCTATGGTGGAAAAGGAAATACCTACCCATAAAAACTAGGCGGAAGCATTCTCAGAAATATCTTTGTGATGAGTGCATTCAACTCACAGAGTTGAACATTTATGTTGATAGAGGAGTTTTAAAACACTCTTTTTCAGGAATCTGAAAGTGGATATTTGGAGCGCTTTGAGGCCTATGGTGGAAAAGGAAACACCTTCACAAAAAAAAACTAGAGCAGAAGCATTCTCAGAAACTTCTTTGTGATGTGTGCATTCAACTCACAGAGTTGAACCTTTTTATTTGATAGAGCAGTTTTGAAACACTATTTTTGTACAATCTGTGGTTGGATAATTGGAGCGCTTTGTTGCCTATGGTGGAAAACGAAATATCCGCACATAAAATCTAGACAGCAGCGTTCTCAGAAACTTGTTTGTGTTGGGTGCATTCAACTCACAGAGTTGAACCTTTCCTTTGATTGAGCAGTTTTGAAAAAGTCTTTTTGTAGAATCCACAAGTGGATATTTGGAGCAGTTTGAGGCCTATGGTGTAAAAGGAAATATCTTCACATAAAAACTAGACAGAAGCATTCTCAGAAACTTCTTTGTGTTGTGTGCATTCAACTCACAGAGTTGAACTTTTCCTATGATTGAGCAGTTTTGAAACACTCTTTCTGAAGAATCTGCAAGTGGATATTTGGAGCGCTTTGAGGCCTATGGTGGAAAAGGAAACATCTTCACAAAAAAAACTAGAGCAGAAGCATTCTCAGAAACGTCTTTGTGATGTGTGCATTCAACTCACAGAGTTGAACCTTTCTTTGATAGAGCAGTTTTGAAACACTCTTTTTGTAGAATCTGCAGTTGGATATTTGGAGCGCTTTGATGCCTATGGTGGAAAAGGAAATATCCGCACATAAAAACTAGGCAACAGCATTCTCAGAAACTTGTTTGTGTTGTGTGCATTCAACTCACAGAGTTGAGCTTTCCTTTGATTGAGCAGTTTTGAAAAAGTCTTTTTGCAGAATCTACAAGTGGATATTTGGAGCGGTTTGAGGCCTATGGTGTAAAAGGAAATATCTTCACATAAAAACTAGACAGAAGCATTCTCTGAAACTTCTTTGTGATGTGTGAATTCAACTCACGGAGTTGAACCTTTCTTTTGTAGAGCAGTTTTGAAACTCTTTTTGTAGAATCTGTAAGTAGATATTTGGAGCGCTTTGAGGCTTATGGTGGAAAAGGAAATATCTTCACATAAAAACTAGACAGAAGCATTCTCAGAAACTTCTTTGTGATAAGTTCATTCAACTCACGGAGTCGAACCTTTCTGTTGATAGAGCAGTTTTAAATCACTCTTTTTCTAGAATCTGAAAGTGGATATTTGGAGTGCTCTGAGGCCTATGGTGGAAAAGGAAATGCCTACACATAAAAACTAGGCAGAAGCATTCTCAGAAATATCTTTGTGATGAGTGCATTCAACTCACAGAGTTGAACATTTATGTTGATAGAGGAGTTTTAAAACACTCTTTTTCAGGAATCTGAAAGTGGATATTTGGAGCGCTTTGAGGCCTATGGTGGAAAAGGAAACACCTTCACAAAAAAAACTAGAGCAGAAGCATTCTCAGAAACGTCTTTGTGATGTGTGCATTCAACTCACAGAGTTGAACCTTTTTTTTTGATAGAGCAGTTTTGAAACACTATTTTTGTACAATCTGCGGTTGGATATTTGGAGCGCTTTGATGCCTATGGTGGAAAACGAAATATCCGCACATAAAATCTAGACAGCAGCATTCTCAGAAACTTGTTTGTGTTGTGTGCATTCAACTCACAGAGTTGAACCTTTCCTTTGATTGAGCAGTTTTGAAAAAGTCTTTTTGTAGAATCCACAAGTGGATATTTGGAGCACTTTGAGGCCTATGGTGTAAAAGGAAATATCTTCACATAAAAACTAGACAGAAGCATTCTCAGAAACTTCTTTGTGTTGTGTGCATTCAACTCATAGAGTTGAACTTTTCCTATGATTGAGCAGTTTTGAAACACTCTTTCTGAAGAATCTGCAAGTGGATATTTGGAGCGCTTTGAGGCCTATGGTGGAAAAGGAAACACCTTCACAAAAAAACTAGAGCAGAAGCATTCTCAGAAACTTCTTTGTGATGTGTGCATTCAACTCACAGAGTTGAACCTTTCTTTGATTGAGCAGTTTTGAAGCACTCTTTTTGTAGAATCTGCAATTGGATATTTGGAGCTCTTTGATGCCTATGGTGGGAAAGGAAATATCCGCATATAAAAAGTAGACAGCAGCATTCTCAGAAACGTGTTTGTGTTGTGTGCATTCAACTCACAGAGTTGGACTTTCCTTTGATTGAGCAGTTTTGAAAATGTCTTTTTGCAGAATCTGCAAGTGGATATTTGGAGCGGTTTGAGGCCTATGGTGTAAAAGGAAATATCTTCACATAAAACGTAGACAGAAGTATTCTCAGCAACTTCTTTGTGATGAGTTCATTCAATTCAGATAGTTGAACATTTCTTTCGTAGAGCAGTTTTGAAACACTCTTTTTGTAGAATCTGCAAGTGGATATTTGGAGCACACTGAAGCCTATGGTGGAAAAGGAAATATCTTCACTTAAAAGCTAGACAGAAGCATTCTCAGAAACTTCTTTGTGATAAGTGCATTCAACTCACCGAGTCGAACCTTTCTGTTGATAGAGCAGTTTTAAATCACTCTTTTTCTATAATCTGAAAGTGGATATTTGGAGTGCTCTGAGGCCTATGGTGGAAAAGGAAATACCTACACATAAAAACTAGGCGGAAGCATTCTCAGAAATATCTTTGTGATGAGTGTATTCAACTCACAGAGTTGAACATTTATGTTGATAGAGGAGTTTTAAAACACTCTTTTTCAGGAATCTGAAAGTGGATATTTGGAGCGCTTTGAGGCCTATGGTGGAAAAGGAAACACCTTCACAAAAAAAAACTAGAGCAGAAGCATTCTCAGGAACTTCTTTGTGATGTGTGCATTCAACTCACAGAGTTGAACCTTTTTTTTTGATAGAGCAGTTTTGAAACACTATTTTTGTACAATCTGCGGTTGGATATTTGGAGCGCTTTGATGCCTATGGTGGAAAACGAAATATCCGCACATAAAATCTAGACAGCAGCATTCTCAGAAACTTGTTTGTGTTGTGTGCATTCAGCTCACAGAGTTGAACCTTTCCTTTGATTGAGCAGTTTTGAAATAGTCTTTTTGTAGAATCCACAAGTGGATATTTGGAGCAGTTTGAGGCCTATGGTGTAAAAGGAAATATCTTCACATAAAAACTAGACAGAAGCATTCTCAGAAACTTCTTTGTGTTGTGTGCATTCAACTCACAGAGTTGAACTTTTCCTATGATTGAGCAGTTTTGAAACACTCTTTCTGAGGAATCTGCAAGTGGATATTTGGAGCGCTTTGATGCCTATGGTGGAAAAGGAAACACCTTCACAAAAAAACTAGAGCAGAAGCATTCTCAGAAACGTCTTTGTGATGTGTGCATTCAACTCACAGAGTTGAACCTTTCTTTGATAGAGCAGTTTTGAAACACTCTTTTTGTAGAATCTGCAGTTGGATATTTGGAGCGCTTTGATGCCTATGGTGGAAAAGTAAATATCCGCACATAAAAACTAGACAGCAGCATTCTCAGAAACTTGTTTGTGTTGTGTGCATTCAACTCACAGAGTTGAAACTTTCCTTTGATTGAGCAGTTTTGAAAAAGTCCTTTTGCAGAATCTGCAAGTGGATATTTGGAGCGTTTGAGGCCTATGGTGTAAAAGGAAATATCTTCACATAAAAACTAGACAGAAGCATTCTCTGAAACTTCTTTGTGATGTGTGAATTCAACTCACAGAGTTGAACCTTTCTTTTGTAGAGCAGTTTTGAAACTCTTTTTGTAGAATCTGTAAGTAGATATTTGGAGCGCTTTGAGGCTTATGGTGGAAAAGGAAATATCTTCACATAAAAACTAGACAGAGAAGCATTCTCAGAAACTTCTTTGTGATAAGTGCATTCTACTCACAGAGTCGAACCTTTCTGTTGATAGAGCAGTTTTAAATCACTCTTTTTCTAGAATCTGAAAGTGGATA
Organism: Homo sapiens; assembly: GCF_000001405.40. Classification (NCBI taxonomy): domain Eukaryota; kingdom Metazoa; phylum Chordata; class Mammalia; order Primates; family Hominidae; genus Homo; species Homo sapiens. Next base: position 29,965,204 of record NC_000020.11, read on the forward strand.
TTTGGAGTGCTTTGAGGCCTATGGTGGAAAAGGAAATACCTACACATAAAAACTAGGCGGAAGCATTCTCAGAAGTATCTTTGTGATGAGTGCATTCAACTCACAGAGTTGAACACTTATGTTGATAGAGGAGTTTTAAAACACTCTTTTTCAGGAATCTGAAAGTGGATATTTGGAGCACTTTGAGGCCTATGGTGGAAAAGGAAACACCATCACAAAAAAAACTAGAGCAGAAGCATTCTCAGAAACTTCGTTGTGATGTGTGCATTCAACTCACAGAGTTGAAACTTTTTATTTGATAGAGCAGTTTTGAAACACTATTTTTGTACAATCTGTGGTTGGATATTTGGAGCGCTTTGATGCCTATGGTGGAAAACGAAATATCCGCACATAAAATCTAGACAGCAGCATTCTCAGAAACTTGTTTATGTTGTGTGCATTCAACTTACAGAGTTGAACCTTTCCTTTGATTGAGCAGTTTTGAAAAAGTCTTTTTGTAGAATCCACAAGTGGATATTTGGAGCAGTTTGAGGCCTATGGTGTAAAAGGACATATCTTCACATAAAAACTAGACAGAAGCATTCTCAGAAACTTCTTTGTGTTGTGTGCATTCAACTCACAGAGTTGAACTTTTCCTATGATTGAGCAGTTTTGAAACACTCTTTCTGAAGAATCTGCAAGTGGATATTTGGAGCGCTTTGAGGCCTATGGTGGAAAAGGAAACACCTTCACAAAAAAACTAGAGCAGAAGCTTTCTCAGAAACGTCTTTGTGATGTGTGCATTCAACTCACAGAGTTGAACCTTTCTTTGATAGAGCAGTTTTGAAACACTCTTTTTGTAGAATCTGCAGTTGGATATTTGGAGCGCTTTGATGCCTATGGTGGAAAAGGAAATATCCGCACATAAAAACTAGACAGCAGCATTCTCAGAAACTTGTTTGTGTTGTGTGCATTCAACTCACAGAGTTGAACCTTTCCTTTGATTGAGCAGTTTTGAAAAAGTCTTTTTGCAGAATCTGCAAGTGGATATTTGGAGCGGTTTGAGGCCTATGGTGTAAAAGGAAATATCTTCACATAAAATCTAGACGGAAGCATTCTCTGAAACTTCTTTGTGATGTGTGAATTCAACTCGCAGAGTTGAACCTTTCTTTTGTAGAGCAGTTTTGAAACCCTTTTTGTAGAATCTGTAAGTAGATATTTGGAGCGCTTTGAGGCTTATGGTGGAAAAGGAAATATCTTCACATAAAAACTAGACAGAAGCATTCTCAGAAACTTCTTTGTGATAAGTGCATTCAACTCACAGAGTCGAACCTTTCTGTTGATAGAGCAGTTTTAAATCACTCTTTTTCTAGAATCTGAAAGTGGATATTTGGAGTGCTTTGAGGCCTATGGTGGAAAAGGAAATACCTACACATAAAAACTAGGCGTAAGCATTCTCAGAAATATCTTTGTGATGAGTGCATTCAACTCACAGAGTTGAACATTTATGTTGATAGAGGAGTTTTAAAACACTCTTTTTCAGGAATCTGAAAGTGGATATTTGGAGCGCTTTGAGGCCTATGGTGGAAAAGGAAACACCTTCACAAAAAAAACTAGAGCAGAAGCATTCTCAGAAAGTTCTTTGTGATGTGTGCATTCAACTCACAGAGTTGAATCTTTTTTTTTGATAGAGCAGTTGTGAAACACTATTTTTGTACAATCTGCAGTTGGATATTTGGAGCGCTTTGATGCCTATGGTGGAAAACGAAATATCCGCACATAAAATCTAGACAGCAGCATTCTCAGAAACTTGTTTGTGTTGTGTGCATTCAGCTCACAGAGTTGAACCTTTCCTTTGATTGAGCAGTTTTGAAATAGTCTTTTTGTAGGATCCACAAGTGGATATTTGGAGCAGTTTGAGGCCTATGGTGTAAAAGGAAATATCTTCACATAAAAACTAGACAGAAGCATTCTCAGAAACTTCTTTGTGTTGTGTGCATTCAACTCACAGAGTTGAACTTTTCCTATGATTGAGCAGTTTTGAAACACTCTTTCTGAAGAATCTGCAAGTGGATATTTGGAGCGCTTTGAGGCCTATGGTGGAAAAGGAAACACCTTCACAAAAAAACTAGAGCAGAAGCATTCTCAGAAACGTCTTTGTGATGTGTGCATTCAACTCACAGAGTTGAACCTTTCTTTGATAGAGCAGTTTTGAAACACTCTTTTTGTAGAATCTGCAGTTGGATATTTGGAGCGCTTTGATGCCTATGGTGGAAAAGGAAATATCCGCCCATAAAAACTGGACAGCAGCATTCTCAGAAACTTTTTTGTGTTGTGTGCATTCAACTCACAGTGTTGAGCTTTCCTTTGATTGAGCAGTTTTGAAAATGTCTTTTTGCAGAATCTGCAAGTGGATATTTGGAGCGGTTTGAGGCCTATGGTGTAAAAGGAAATATCTTCATATAAAAACCAGACAGAAGCATTCTCTGAAACTTCTTTGTGATGTGTGAATTCAACTCGCAGAGTTGAACCTTTCTTTTGTAGAGCAGTTTTGAAACTCTTTTTGTAGAATCTGTAAGTAGATATTTGGAGCGCTTTGAGGCTTATGGTGGAAAAGGAAATATCTTCACATAAAAACTAGACAGAAGCATTCTCAGAAACTTCGTTGTCATAAGTGCATTCAACTCACAGAGTAGAACCTTTCTGTTGATAGAGCAGTTTTAAATCACTCTTTTTCTAGAATCTGAAAGTGGATATTTGGAGTGCTCTGAGGCCTATGGTGGAAAAGGAAATACCTACACATAAAAACTAGGCGGAAGCATTCTCAGAAATATCTTTGTGATGAGTGCATTCAACTCACAGAGTTGAACATTTATGTTGATAGAGGACTTTTAAAAGACTCTTTTTCAGGAATCTGAAAGTGGATATTTGGAGTGCTTTGAGGCCTATGGTGGAAAAGGAAACACCTTCACAAAAAAAACTAGAGCAGAAGCATTCTCTGAAACTTCTTTGTGATGTGTGCATTCAACTCACAGAGTTGCACCTTTTTTTTTGATAGAGCAGTTTTGAAACACTATTTTTGTACAATCTGCGGTTGGATATTTGGAGCGTTTTGATGCCTATGGTGGAAAACGAAATATCCGCACATAAAATCTAGACAGCAGCATTCTCAGAAGCTTGTTTGTGTTGTGTGCATTCAACTCACATTGTTGAACCTTTCCTTTGATTGAGCAGTTTTGAAAAAGTCTTTTTGTAGAATCCACAAGTGGATATTTGGAGCAGTTTGAGGCCTATGGTGTAAAAGGAAATATCTTCACATAAAAACTAGACAGAAGCATTCTCAGAAACTTCTTTGTGTTGTGTGCATTCAACTCACAGAGTTGAACTTTTCCTGTGATTGAGCAGTTTTGAAACACTCTTTCTGAAGAATCTGCAAGTGGATATTTGGAGCGCTTTGAGGCCTATGCTGGAAAAGGAAACACCTTCACGAAAAAACTAGAGCAGAAGCATTCTCAGAAACGTCTTTGTGATGTGTGCATTCAACTCACAGAGTTGAACCTTTCTTTGATAGAGCAGTTTTGAAACACTCTTTTTGTAGAATCTGCAGTTGGATATTTGGAGCGCTTTGATGCCTATGGTGGAAAAGGAAATATCCGCACATAAAAACTAGACAGCAGCATTCTCAGAAACTTGTTTGTGTTGTGTGCATTCAACTCACAGAGTTGACCTTTCCTTTGATTGAGCAGTTTTGAAAAAGTCTTTTTGCAGAATCTGCAAGTGGATATTTGGAGCGGTTTGAGGCCTATGGTGTAAAAGGAAATATCTTCACATAAAAACTAGACAGAAGCATTCTCTGAAACTTCTTTGTGATGTGTGAATTCAACTCGCAGAGTTGAACCTTTCTTTTGTAGAGCAGTTTTGAAACTCTTTTTGTAGAACCTGTAAGTAGATATTTGGAGCTCTTTGAGGCTTATGGTGGAAAAGGAAATATCTTCACATAAAAACTAGACAGAAGCATTCTCAGAAACTTCTTTGTGATAAGTGCATTCAACCCACAGAGTCGAACCTTTCTGTTGATAGAGCAGTTTTAAATCACTCTTTTTCTAGAATCTGAAAGTGGATATTTGGAGTGCTTTGAGGCCTATGGTGGAAAAGGAAATACCTACACATAAAAACTAGGCGGAAGCATTCTCAGAAATATCTTTGTGATGAGTGCATTCAACTCACAGAGTTGAACATTTATGTTGATAGAGGAGTTTTAAAACACTCTTTTTCAGGAATCTGAAAGTGGATATTTGGAGCGCTTTGAGGCCTATGGTGGAAAAGGAAACACCTTCACAAAAAAAACTGGAGCAGAAGCATTCTCAGAAACTTCTTTCTGATGTGTGCATTCAACTCAAAGAGTTGAAACTTTTTATTTGATAGAGCAGTTTTGAAACACTATTTTTGTACAATCTGCGGTTGGATATTTGGAGCGCTTTGATGCCTATGGTGGAAAATGAAATATCCGCACATAAAATCTAGACAGCAGCATTCTCAGAAACTTGTTTGTGTTGTGTGCATTCAACTCACAGAGTTGAACCTTTCCTTTGATTGAGCAGTTTTGAAAAAGACTTTTTGTAGAATCCACAAGTGGATATTTGGAGCAGTTTGAGGCCTATGGTGTAAAAGGAAATATCTTCACATAAAAACTAGACAGAAGCATTCTCAGAAACTTCTTTGTGTTGTGTGCATTCAACTCACAGAGTTGAACTTTTCCTATGATTGAGCAGTTTTGAAACAATCTTTCTGAAGAATCTGCAAGTGGATATTTGGAGCGCTTTGAGACCTATGGTGGAAAAGGAAACACCTTCACAAGAAAAACTAGAGCAGAAGCATTCTCAGAAACGTCTTTGTGATGTGTGCATTCAACTCACAGAGTTGAAAATTTCTTTGATAGAGCAGTTTTGAAACACTCTTTTTGTAGAATCTGCAGTTGGATATTTGGAGCGCTTTGATGCCTATGGTGGAAAAGGAAATATCCGCACATAAAAACTAGACAGCAGCATTCTCAGAAACTTGTTTGTGTTGTGTGCATTCAACTCACAGAGTTGAGCTTTCCTTTGATTGAGCAGTTTTGAAAATGTCTTTTTGCAGAATCTGCAAGTGGATATTTGGAGCGGTTTGAGGCCTATGGTGTAAAAGGAAATATCTTCACATAAAAACTAGACAGTAGCATTCTCTGAAACTTCTTTGTGATGTGTGAATTCAACTCACAGAGTTGAACCTTTTTTTGTAGAGCAGTTTTGAAACTCTTTTTGTAGAATCTGTAAGTAGATATTTGGAGCGCTTTGAGGCTTATGTTGGAAAAGGAAATATCTTCACATAAAAACTAGACAGAAGCATTCTCAGAAACTTCTTTGTGATAAGTGCATTCAACTCACAGAGTCGAACCTTTCTGTTGATAGAGCAGTTTTAAATCACTCTTTTTCTAGAATCTGAAAGTGGATATTTGGAGTGCTCTGAGGTCTATGGTGGAAAAGGAAATACCTACACATAAAAACCAGGCGGAAGCATTCTCAGAGATATCCTTGTGATGAGTGCATTCAACTCACAGAGTTGAACACTTATGTTGATAGAGGAGTTTTAAAACACTCTTTTTCAGGAATCTGAAAGTGGATATTTGGAGCGCTTTGAGGCCTATGGTGGAAAAGGAAACACCTTCACAAAAAAAACTAGAGCAGAAGCATTCTCAGGAACTTCTTTGTGATGTGTGCATTCAACTCACAGAGTTGAACCTTTTTTTTTGATAGAGCAGTTTTGAAACACTATTTTTGTACAATCTGCGGTTGGATATTTGGAGCGCTTTGATGCCTATGGTGGAAAACGAAATATCCGCACATAAAATCTAGACAGCAGCATTCTCAGAAACTTGTTTGTGTTGTGTGCATTCAGCTCACAGAGTTGAACCTTTCCTTTGATTGAGCAGTTATGAAAAAGTCTTTTTGTAGAATCCACAAGTGGATATTTGGAGCAGTTTGAGGCCTATGGTGTAAAAGGAAATATCTTCACATAAAAACTAGACAGAAGCATTCTCAGAAACTTCTTTGTGTTGTGTGCATTCAACTCACAGAGTTGAACTTTTCCTATGATTGAGCAGTTTTGAAACACTCTTTCTGAAGAATCTGCAAGTGGATATTTGGAGCGCTTTGAGGCCTATGGTGGAAAAGGAAACACCTTCACAAAAAAACTAGAGCAGAAGCATTCTCAGAAACGTCTTTGTGATGTGTGCATTCAACTCACAGAGTTGAACCTTTCTTTGATAGAGCAGTTTTGAAACACTCTTTTTGTAGAATCTGCAGTTGGATATTTGGAGGGCTTTGATGCCTATGGTGGAAAAGGAAATATCCGCACATAAAAACTAGACAGCAGCATTCTCAGAAACTTGTTTGTGTTGTGTGCATTCAACTCACAGAGTTGACCTTTCCTTTGATTGAGCAGTTTTGAAAAAGTCTTTTTGCAGAATCTGCAAGTGGATATTTGGAGCGGTTTGAGGCCTATGGTGTAAAAGGAAATATCTTCACATAAAAACTAGACAGAAGCATTCTCTGAAACTTCTTTGTGATGTGTGAATTCAACTCACAGAGTTGAACCTTTCTTCTGTAGAGCAGTTTTGAAACTCTTTTTGTAGAATCTGTAAGTAGATATTTGGAGCGCTTTGAGGCTTATGGTGGAAAAGGAAATATCTTCACATAAAAACTAGACAGAAGCATTCTCAGAAACTTCTTTGTGATAAGTGCATTCAACTCACAGAGTCGAACCTTTCTGTTGATAGAGCAGTTTTAAATCACTCTTTTTCTAGAATCTGAAAGTGGATATTTGGAGTGCTGTGAGGCCTATGGTGGAAAAGGAAATACCTACACATAAAAACTAGGCGGAAGCATTCTCAGAAATATCTTTGTGATGAGTGCATTGAACTCAAGGAGTTGAACATTTATGTTGATAGAGGAGTTTTAAAACACTCTTTTTCAGGAATCTGAAAGTGGATATTTGGAGCGCTTTGAGGCCTATGGTGGAAAAGGAAACACCTTCACAAAAAAAACTAGAGCAGAAGCATTCTCAGAAACTTCTTTGTGATGTGTGCATTCAACTCACAGAGTTGAACCTTTTTTTTTGATAGAGCAGTTTTGAAACACTATTTTTGTACAATCTGCGGTTGGATAGTTGGAGGGCTTTGATGCCTATGGTGGAAAACGAAATATCCGCACATAAAATCTAGACAGCAGCATTCTCAGAAACTTGTTTGTGTTGTGTGCATTCAACTCACAGAGTTGAACCTTTCCTTTGATTGAGCAGTTTTGAAAAAGTCTTTTTGTAGAATCCACAAGTGGATATTTGGAGCAGTTTGAGGCCTATGGTGTAAAAGGAAATATCTTCACATAAAAACTAGACAGAAGGATTCTCAGAAAATTCCTTGTGTTGTTTGTATTCAACCCACAGAGTTTAAACTTTTCTTTGATTGGGCAGTTTTGAAACACTCTTTTTCTAGAATCTGTAGGTGGATATTTGGAGTGCTTCGATGACTACGGGAGAAGAGGAAATGTCTTCATATAAAAACTAGACAGAAGCATTCTCAGAAACTTCCTTGTGACGTGTGCATTAAATAACAGTGTTGAACCATTGTTTAGAAGAGCATTTTGGAAACACTTCTTTTTTTTAGAAAATGCAAGTGGATATTTGGAGCGCTTTGTGGCCTATGGTGGAAAAGAAAATATCTTCACATAAAAACTAGACAGAAGCATTCTCAGAAACTTGTTTGTGTTGTGTGCATTCAACTCACAGAGTTGACCTTTCCTTTGATTGAGCAGTTTTGAAAAAGTCTTTTTGCAGAATCTGCAAGTGGATATTTGGAGCGGTTTGAGGCCTATGGTATAAAAGGAAATATCATCACATAAAAACTAGACAGAGCATTCTCAGAAACTTCTTTGAGATGTGTGCATTCAACTCACAGAGCTGGTACTTTCTGTTCATAGATCAGTTTTGAAACACTCTTTCTGTAGAATCTGCAAGTGGATATTTGGTGGATTTGAGGCCTTTGGCAGAAAAGGAAATATCTTCACATAAAAACTGGACAGATGCATTCTCAGAAACTTCTTGGTGGTAAGTCCATTCAACTCAGAGAGTTGAACCTTCCTTTTGATAGAGCAGTTTTGAAACACTCTTTTTTTAGAATCTGCAAGTGCATATTTGGAGCGCTTTGAGGCCTATGGTGGTAAAGGAAATATCTTCACATAAAAACTAGAGAGAAGCATTCTCAGAAATATCTTTGTGATGAGTGCATTCAACTCACAGAGTTGAACATTTATGTTGATAGAGGAGTTTTAAAACACTCTTTTTCAGGAATCTGAAAGTGGATATTTGGAGCGCTTTGAGGCCTATGGTGGAAAAGGAAACACCTTCACAAAAAAAACTAGAGCAGAAGCATTCTCAGAAACTTCTTTGTGATGTGTGCATTCAACTCACAGATTTGAACCTTTTTTTTTGATAGAGCAGTTTTGAAACACTGTTTTTGTACAATCTGCGGTTGGATATTTGGAGCGCTTTGATGCCTATGGTGGAAAACGAAATATCCGCACATAAAATCTAGACAGCAACATTCTCAGAAACTTGTTTGTGTTGTGTGCATTCAACTCACAGAGTTGAACCTTTCCTTTGATTGAGCAGTTTTGAAAAAGTCTTTTTGTAGAATCCACAAGTGGATATTTGGAGCAGTTTGAGGCCTATGGTGTAAAAGGAAATATCTTCACATAAAAACTAGACAGAAGCATTCTCAGAAACTTCTTTGTGTTGTGTGCATTCAACTCACAGAGTTGAACTTTTCCTATGATTTAGCAGTTTTGAAACACTCTTTCTGAAGAATCTGCAAGTGGATATTTGGAGCGCTTTGAGGCCTATGGTGGAAAAGGAAACACCTTCACAAAAAAACTAGAGCAGAAGCATTCTCAGAAACTTCTTTGTGTTGTGTGCATTCAACTCACAGAGTGGAACTTTTCCTATGATTGAGCAGTTTTGAAACACTCTTTCTGAAGAATCTGCAGTTGGATATTTGGAGCGCTTTGACGCCTATGGTGGAAAAGGAAATATCCGCACATAAAAACTAGACAGCAACATTCTCAGAAACTTGTTTGTATTGTGTGCATTCAACTCACAGAGTTGAACCTTTCCTTTGATTGAGCAGTTTTGAAAAAGTCTTTTTGCAGAATCTGCAAGTGGATATTTGGAGCAGTTTGAGGCCTATGGTGTAAAAGGAAATATCTTCACATAAAAACTAGACAGAAGCATTCTCTGAAACTTCTTTGTGATGTGTGAATTTAACTCACGGAGTTGAACCTTTCTTTTGTAGAGCAGTTTTCAAACTCTTTTTGTAGAATCTGTAAATAGATATTTGGAGCGCTTTGAGGCTTATGGTGGAAAAGGAAATATCTTCACATAAAAACTAGACAGAAGCATTCTCAGAAACTTCTTTGTGATAAGTTCATTCAACTCACAGAGTCGAACCTTTCTGTTGATAGAGCAGTTTTAAATCACTCTTTTTCTAGGATCTGAAAGTGGATATTTGGAGTGCTCTGAGGCCTATGGTGGAAAAGGAAATGCCTACACATAAAAACTAGGCGGAAGCATTCTCAGAAATATCTTTGTGATGAGTGCATTCAACTCAAAGAGTTGAACATTTATGTTGATAGAGGAGTTTTAAAACACTCTTTTTCCGGAATCTGCAAGTGGATATTTGTAGCGCTTTGAGGCCTATGGTGGAAAAGGAAACACCTTCACAAAAAAAACTAGAGCAGAAGCATTCTCAGAAACTTCTTTGTGATGTGTGCATTCAACTCACAGAGTTGAATCTTTTTTTTTGATAGAGCAGTTTTGAAACACTATTTTTGTACAATCTGCGGTTGGATATTTGGAGCTCTTTGATGCCTATGGTGGAAAACGAAATATCCGCACATAAAATCTAGACAGCAGCATTCTCAGAAACTTGTTTGTGTTGTGTGCATTCAACTCACATAGTTGAACTTTTCCTTTGATTGAGCAGTTTTGAAAAAGTCTTTTTGTAGAATCCACAAGTGGATATTTGGAGCAGTTTGAGGCCTATGGTGTAAAAGGAAATATCTTCACATAAAAACTAGACAGAAGCATTCTCAGAAACTTCTTTGTGTTGTGTGCATTCAACTCACAGAGTTGAACTTTTCCTATGATTGAGCAGTGTTGAAACACTCTTTCTGAAGAATCTGTAAGTGGATATTTGGAGCGCTTTGAGGCCTATGGTGGAAAAGGAAACACCTTCACAAAAAAACTAGAGCAGAAGCATTCTCAGAAACGTCTTTATGATGTGTGCATTCAACTCACAGAGTTGACACATTCTTTGATAGAGCAGTTTTGAAACACTCTTTTTGTGGAATCTGCAGTTGGATATTTGGAGCGCTTTGATGCCTATGGTGGAAAAGGAAATATCCGCACATAAAAACTAGACAGCAAAATTCTCAGAAACTTCTTTGTGATGAGTGCATTCAACTCACAGAGTTGGACATTTCTGTTGATAGAGCAGTTTTAAAACACTCTGTTTCTGGAATCCGAAAGTGGATATTTGGAGCGCTTTGAGGCCTATGTTGGAAAAGGAAATATCTTCACATAAAAACTAGACAGAAGCATTCTCTGAAACTTCTTTGTGATGTGTGAATTCAACCTCACAGAGTTGAACCTTTCTTTTGTAGAGCAGTTTTGAAACTCTTTTTGTAGAATGTGTAAGTAGATATTTGGAGCGCTTTGAGGCTTATGGTGGAAAAGGAAATATCTTCACATAAAAACTAGACAGAAGCATTCTCAGAAACTTCTTTGTGATAAGTGCATTCAACCCACAGAGTCGAACATTTCTGTTGATAGAGCAGTTTTAAATCACTCTTTTTCTAGAATCTGAAAGTGGATATTTGGAGTGCTTTGAGGCTCATGGTGGAAAAGGAAATACCTACACATAAAAACTAGGCGGAAGCATTCTCAGAAATATCTTTGTGATGAGTGCATTCAACTCACAGAGTTGAACATTTATGTTGATAGAGGAGTTTTAAAACACTCTTTCAGGAATCTGAAAGTGGATATTTGGAGCGCTTTGAGGCCTATGGTGGAAAAGGAAACACCATCACAAAAAAAAACTAGAGCAGAAGCATTCTCAGAAAGTTCTTTGTGATGTGAGCATTCAACTCACAGACTTGAATCTTTTTTTTTGATATAGCAGTTGTGAAACACTATTTTTGTACAATCTGCAGTTGGATATTTGGAGCGCTTTGATGCCTATGGTGGAAAACGAAATATCCGCACATAAAATCTAGACAGCAACATTCTCAGAAACTTGTTTGTGTTGTGTGCATTCAACTCACAGAGTTGAACCTTTCCTTTGATTGAGCAGTTTTGAAAAAGTCTTTTTGTAGAATCCACAAGTGGATATTTGGAGCAGTTTGAGGCCTATGGTGTAAAAGGAAATATCTTCACATAAAAACTAGACAGAAGCATTCTCAGAAACTTCTTTGTGGTGTGTGCATTCAACTCACAGAGTTGAACTTTTCCTATGATTGAGCAGTTTTGAAACACTCTTTCTGAAGTATCTGCAAGTGGATATTTGGAACGCTTTCAGGCCTATGGTGGAAAAGGAAACACCTTCACAAAAAAACTAGAGCAGAAGCATTCTCAGAAACGTCTTTGTGATGTGTGCATTCAACTCACAGAGTTGAACCTTTCTTTGATAGAGCAGTTTTGAAACACTCTTTTTGTAGAATCTGCAGTTGGATATTTGGAGCGCTTTGATGCCTATGGTGGAAAAGGAAATATCCGCCCATAAAAACTAGACAGCAGCATTCTCAGAAACTTGTTTGTGTTGTGTGCATTCAACTCACAGAGTTGAGCTTTCCTTTGATTGAGCAGTTTTGAAAAAGTCTTTTTGCAGAATCTGCAAGTGGATATTTGGAGCGGTTTGAGGCCTATGGTGTAAAAGGAAATATCTTCACATAAAAACTAGACAGAAGCATTCTCTGAAACTTCTTTGTGATGTGTGCATTCAACTCACAGAGTTGAACCTTCCTTTTGACAAGGTAGTTTTGAAACAGTCTTTTTGTAGTATCTGCAAGTGGATATTTGGAGTGCTTTGATGCCTATGGTGGAAAAGGAAATATCTTCACATAAAAACTAGACAGAAGCATTCTCAGAAACTTCTTTGTGATAAGTGCATTCAACTCACAGAGTCGAACCTTTCTGTTGATAGAGCAGTTTTAAATCACACTTTTTCTAGAATCTGAAAGTGGATATTTGGAGTGCTTTGAGGCCTATGGTGGAAAAGGAAATACCTACACATAAAAACTAGGCGGAAGCATTCTCTGAAATATCTTTGTGATGAGTGCATTCAACTCACAGAGTTGAACACTTATGTTGATAGAGGAGTTTTAAAACACTCTTTTTCAGGAATCTGAAAGTGGATATTTGGAGCGCTTTGAGGCCTATGGTGGAAAAGGAAACAACTTCACAAAAAAAACTAGAGCAGAAGCATTCTCAGAAACTTCGTTGTGATGTGTGCATTCAACTCACAGAGTTGAAACTTTTTATTTGATAGAGCAGTTTTGAAACACTATTTTTGTACAATCTGTGGTTGGATATTTGGAGCGCTTTGATGCCTATGGTGGAAAACGAAATATCCGCACATAAAATCTAGACAGCTCTGTCTAGTTTTTATATGAAGATATTTCCTTTTCTACCATATACCTCAAAGTGCTCCAAATGTCCACTTGCAGATTCTACAAAAAGAGTGTTTCAAAACTGCTCTATGAAAAAGAAAGTTCATATGTGCCACATTTTCTTAATCCAGTCTATCATTGTTAGACATTTGGTTTAGTTCCAAGTCTTTGCTATTGTGAATAATGCCGCACATATACACCATGGAATACTATGCAGCCATAAAAAATGATAAGTTCATGTCCTTTGCAGGGACATGGATGAAATTGGAAATCATCATTCTCAGTAAACTATCGCAAGAACAAAAAACCAAACACCGCATATTCTCACTCATAGGTGGGAATTGAACAATGAGATCACATGGACACAGGAAGAGGAATATCACACTCCGGGGACTGTTGTGGGGTCGGGGGAGGGTGTTGGGATAGCATTGGGAGATATACCTAATGTTAGATGACGAGTTATTGGGGTGCAGTGCACCAGCATGTCACAT
>NC_000020.11:29978528-30017494 GCF_000001405.40 Homo sapiens
AGCATTCTCAGAAACTTCTTTGTGTTGTGTGCATTGAACTCCCAGAGTTGAACGTTTCCTATGATTGAGCAGTTTTGAAACACTCTTTCTGAAGAATCTGCAAGTGGATATTTGGAGCGCTTTGAGGCCTACGGTGGAAAAGGAAACACCTTCACAAAAAAACTAGAGCAGAAGCATTCTCAGAAACGTCTTTGTGATGTGTGCATTCAAATCACAGAGTTGAACCTTTCTTTGATAGAGCAGTTTTGAAACACTCTTTTTGTAGAATCTGCAGTTGGATATTTGGAGCGCTTTGATGCCTATGGTGGAAAAGGAAATATCCGCACATAAAAACTAGACAGCAGCATTCTCAGAAACTTGTTTGTGTTGTGTGCATTCAACTCACAGAGTTGACCTTTCCTTTGATTGAGCAGTTTTGAAAATGTCTTTTTGCAGAATCTGCAAGTGGATATTTGGAGCGGTTTGAGGCCTATGGTGTAAAAGGAAATATCTTCACATAAAAAGTAGACAGAAGCATTCTCTGAAACTTCTTTGTGATGTGTGAATTCAACCTCACAGAGTTGAACCTTTCTTTTGTAGAGCAGTTTTGAAACTCTTTTTGTAGAATGTGTAAGTAGATATTTGGAGCGCTTTGAGGCTTATGGTGGAAAAGGAAATATCTTCACATAAAAACTAGACAGAAGCATTCTCAGAAACTTCTTTGTGATAAGTGCATTCAACTCACAGAGTCGAACCTTTCTGTGGATAGAGCAGTTTTAAATCACTCTTTTTCTAGAATCTGAAAGTGGATATTTGGAGTGCTTTGAGGGCTATGGTGGAAAAGGAAATACCTACACATAAAAACTATGCGGAAGCATTCTCAGAAATATCTTTGTGATGAGTGCATTCAACTCACAGAGTTGAACATTTATGTTGATAGAGGAGTTTTAAAACACTCTTTTTCAGGAATCTGAAAGTGGATATTTGGAGCGCTTTGAGGCCTATGGTGGAAAAGGAAACACATTCACAAAAAAAACTAGAGCAGAAGCATTCTCAGGAACTTCTTTGTGATGTGTGCATTCAACTCACAGAGTTGAACCTTTTTTTTTGATAGAGCAGTTTTGAAACACTATTTTTGTACAATCTGCGGTTGGATATTTGGAGCGCTTTGATGCCTATGGTGGAAAACGAAATATCCGCACATAAAATCTAGACAGCAGCATTCTCAGAAACTTCTTTGTGTTGTGTGCATTCAACTCACAGAGTTGAACTTTTCCTTTGATTGAGCAGTTTTGAAAAAGTCTTTTTGTAGAATCCACAAGTGGATATTTGGAGCAGTTTGAGGCCTATGGTGTAAAAGGAAATATCTTCACATAAAAACTAGACAGAAAGCATTCTCAGAAACTTCTTTGTGTTGTGTGCATTGAACTCACAGAGTTGAACGTTTCCTATGATTGAGCAGTTTTGAAACACTCTTTCTGAAGAATCTGCAAGTGGATATTTGGAGCGCTTTGAGGCCTACGGTGGAAAAGGAAACACCTTCACAAAAAAACTAGAGCAGAGCATTCTCAGAAACTTCTTTGTGATGTGTGCATTCAACTCACAGAGTTGAACCTTTCTTTGATAGAGCAGTTTTGAAACACTCTTTTTGTAGAATCTGCAATTGGATATTTGGAGCTCTTTGATGCCTATGGTGGAAAAGGAAATATCCGCACATAAAAACTAGACAGCAGCATTCTCAGAAACTTGTTTGTGTTGTGTGCATTCAACTCACAGAGTTGACCTTTCCTTTGATTGAGCAGTTTTGAAAAAGTCTTTTTGCAGAATCTGCAAGTGGATATTTGGAGCGGTTTGAGGCCTATGGTGTAAAAGGAAATATCTTCACATAAAAACTAGACAGAAGCATTCTCTGAAACTTCTTTGTGATGTGTGAATTCAACTCACAGAGTTGAACCTTTCTTTTGTAGAGCAGTTTTGAAACTCTTTTTGTAGAATCTGTAAGTAGATATTTGGAGCGCTTTGAGGCTTATGGTGGAAAAGGAAATATCTTCACATAAAAACTAGACAGAAGCATTCTCAGAAACTTCTTTGTGATGAGTGCATTCAACTCACAGAGTTGGACCTTTCTGTTGATAGAGCAGTTTTAAAACACTCTGTTTCTGGAATCCGAAAGTGGATATTTGGAGTGCTTTGAGGCCTATGTTGGAAAAGGAAATATCTTCACATAAAAACTAGACAGAAGCATTCTCAGAAATATCTTTGTGATGAGTGCATTCAACTCACAGAGTTGAACATTTATGTTGATAGAGGAGTTTTAAAACACTCTTTTTCAGGAATTTGAAAGTGGATATTTGGAGCGCTTTGAGGCCTATGGTGGGAAAGGAAACACCTTCACAAAAAAAACTAGAGCAGAAGCATTCTCAGGAACTTCTTTGTGATGTGTGCATTCAACTCACAGAGTTGAACCTTTTTTTTTTGATAGAGCAGTTTTGAAACACTATTTTTGTACAATCTGCGGTTGGATATTTGGAGCGCTTTGATGCCTATGGTGGAAAACGAAATATCCGCACATAAAATCTAGACAGCAGCATTCTCAGAAACTTGTTTGTGTTGTGTGCATTCAACTCACAGAGTTGAACCTTTCCTTTGATTGAGCAGTTTTGAAAAAGTCTTTTTGTAGAATCCACAAGTGGATATTTGGAGCAGTTTGAGGCCTATGGTGTAAAAGGAAATATCTTCACATAAAAACTAGACAGAAGCATTCTCAGAAACTTCTTTGTGTTGTGTGCATTCAACTCACAGAGTTGAACTTTTCCTATGATTGAGCAGTTTTGAAACACTCTTTCTGAAGAATCTGCAAGTGGATATTTGGAGCGCTTTGAGGCCTATGGTGGAAAAGGAAACACCTTCACAAAAAAACTAGAGCAGAAGCATTCTCAGAAACGTCTTTGTGATCTGTGAATTCAACTCACATAGTTGAACCTTTCTTTGATAGAGCAGTTTTGAAACACTCTTTTTGTAGAATCTGCAGTTGGATGTATGGAGCGCTTTGATGCCTATGGTGGAAAAGGAAGTATCCGCACATAAAAACTAGACAGCAGCATTCTCAGAAACTTGTTTGTGTTGGGTGCATTCAACTCACAGAGTTGAGCTTTCCTTTGATTGAGCAGTTTTGAAAAAGTCTTTTTGCAGAATCTGCAAGTGGATATTTGGAGCGGTTTGAGGCCTGTGGTGTAAAAGGAAATATCTTCACATAAAAACTAGACAGAAGCATTCTCTGAAACTTCTTTGTGATGTGTGAATTCAACTCACAGAGTTGAACCTTTCTTTTGTAGAGCAGTTTTGAAACTCTTTTTGTAGAATCTGTAAGTAGATATTTGGAGCGCTTTGAGGCTTATGTTGGAAAAGGAAATATCTTCACATAAAAACTAGACAGAAGCATTCTCTGAAACTTCTTTGTGATGTGTGAATTCAACTCACAGAGTTGAACCTTTCTTTTGTAGAGTAGTTTTGAAACTCTTTTTGTAGAATGTGTAAGTAGATATTTGGAGCGCTTTGAGGCTTATGGTGGAAAAGGAAATACCTACACATAAAAACTAGGCGGAAGCATTCTCAGAAATATCTTTGTGATGAGTGCATTCAACTCACAGAGTTGAACATTTATGTTGATAGAGGAGTTTTAAAACACTCTTTTTCGGGAATCTGAAAGTGGATATTTGGAGCGCTTTGAGGCCTATGGTGGAAAAGGAAACACCTTCACAAAAAAAACTAGAGCAGAAGCATTCTCAGAAACTTCGTTGTGATGTGTGCATTCAACTCACAGAGTTGAACCTTTTTATTTGATAGAGCAGTTTTGAAACACTATTTTTGTACAATCTGCGGTTGGATATTTGGAGCGCTTTGATGCCTATGGTGGAAAACGAAATATCCGCACATAAAATCTAGACAGCAACATTCTCAGAAACTTGTTTGTGTTGTGTGCATTCAGCTCACAGAGTTGAACCTTTCCTTTGATTGAGCAGTTTTGAAAAAGTCTTTTTGTAGAATCCACAAGTGGATATTTGGAGCAGTTTGAGGCCTATGGTGTAAAAGGAAATATCTTCACATAAAAACTAGACAGAAGCATTCTCAGAAACTTCTTTGTGTTGTGTGCATTCAACTCACAGAGTTGAACTTTTCCTATGATTGAGCAGTTTTGAAACACTCTTTCTGAAGAATCTGCAAGTGGATATTTGGAGCGCTTTGAGGCCTATGGTGGAAAAGGAAACACCTTCACAAAAAAACTAGAGCAGAAGCATTCTCAGAAACGTCTTTGTGATGTGTGCATTCAACTCACAGAGTTGAAACTTTCTTTGATAGAGCAGTTTTGAAACACTCTTTTTGTAGAATCTGCAGTTGGATATTTGGAGCGCTTTGATGCCTATGGTGGAAAAGGAAATATCCGCACATAAAAACTAGACAGCAGCATTCTCAGAAACTTGTTTGTGTTGTGTGCATTCATCTAACAGAGTTGAAACTTTCCTTTGATTGAGCAGTTTTGAAAAAGTCCTTTTGCAGAATCTGCAAGTGGATATTTGGAGCCTTTGAGGCCTATGGTGTAAAAGGAAATATCTTCACATAGAAACTAGACAGAAGCATTCTCCGAAACTTCTTTGTGATGAGTGAATTCAACGCACAGAGCTGAACCTTTCTTTTGATAGAGCAGTTTTGAAACACTCTTTTTGTAGGATCTGCAAGTAGATATTTGGAGTGCTCTGAGGCCTATGGTGGAAAAGGAAATATCATCATATAAAAACTAGACAGAAGCATTCTCAGAAACTTCTTTGTGTTGTGTGTATTCAACTCACAGAGTTGAAATTTTCCTTTGATTGAGCAGTTTTGAAACACTCTTTTTGTAGAATCTGCAAGTGGATATTTGGAGTGCTTTGAGGCCTATGGTGGAAAAGGAAACACCTTCACATAAAAAGTAGAGCAGAAACATTCTTAGAAACTTCTTTCTGATGTGTTCATTCATCTCACAAAGATGAACCTTTGTTTTGTTAGAGCAGTTTTGAAACACTCTTTTTGTGGAATCTGCAAGTGGATATTAAGAGCGCTTTGAGGCCTATGGTGGGAAAGGAAATATTCTCACATAAAAACTAGACAGAAGCATTCTCAGAAACTTGTTTGTGTTGTGTGCATTCAGCTTACAGAGTTGAACCTTTCCTTTGATTGAGCAATTTTGAAACAGTCTTTTTGTAGTATCTACAAGTGAATACTTGGAGCACTTTGAGGCCTATGGTGGAAAAGGAAATATCTTCACATAAAAACTAGACAGACAGCATTCTCAGAAACTTGTTTGTGTTGTGTGCATTCAACTCACAGAGTTGACCTTTCCTTTGATTGAGCAGTTTTGAAAAAGTCTTTTTGCAGAATCTGCAAGTTGATATTTGGAGCGGTTTGAGGCCTATGGTGTAAAAGGAAATATCTTCACATAAAAACTAGACAGAGCATTCTCTGAAACTTCTTTGTGATGTGTGAATTCAACTCACAGAGTTGAACCTTTCTTTTGTAGAGCAGTTTTGAAACTCTTTTTGTAGAATCTGTAAGTAGATATTTGGAGTGCTTTGAGGCTTATGGTGGAAAAGGAAATATCTTCACATAAAAACTAGACAGAAGCATTCTCAGAAACTTCTTTGTGATAAGTGCACTCAACTCAGAGAGTCGAACCTTTCTGTTGATAGAGCAGTTTTAAATCACTCTTTTTCTAGAATCTGAAAGTGGATATTTGGAGTGCTTTGGGGCCTATGGTGGAAAAGGAAATACCTACACATAAAAACTAGGCGGAAGCATTCTCAGAAATATCTTTGTGATGAGTGCATTCAACTCACAGAGTTGAACATTTATGTTGATAGAGGAGTTCTAAAACACTCTTTTTCAGGAAACTGAAAGTGGATATTTGGAGCGCTTTGAGGCCTATGGTGGAAAAGGAAACACCTTCACAAAAAAAACTAGAGCAGAAGCATTCTCAGAAACTTCTTTGTGATGTGTGCATTCAACTCACAGAGTTGAATCTTTTTTTTGGATAGAGCAGTTTTGAAACACTATTTTTGTACAATCTGCGGTTGGATATTTGGAGCGCTTTGATGCCTATGGTGTAAAATGAAATATCCGCACATAAAATCTAGACAGCAGCATTCTCAGAAACTTGTTTGTGTTGTGTGCATTCAACTCACAGAGTTGAACCTTCCCTTTGATTGACAAGTTTTGAAAAAGTCTTTTTGTAGAATCCACAAGTGGATATTTGGAGCAGTTTGAGGCCTATGGTGTAAAAGGAAATATCTTCACATAAAAACTAGACAGAAGCATTCTCAGAAACTTCTTTGTGTTGTGTGCATTCAACTCACAGAGTTGAGCTTTTCCTATGATTGAGCAGTTTTGAAACACTCTTTCTGGAGAATCTGCAAGTGGATATTTGGAGCGCTTTGAGGCCTGTGGTGGAAAAGGAAACACCTTCACAAAAAAACTAGAGCAGAAGCATTCTCAGAAACGTCTTTGTGATGTGTGCATTCAACTCACAGAGTTGAACCTTTCTTTGATAGAGCAGTTTTGAAACACTCTTTTTGTAGAATCTGCAGTTGGATATTTGGAGCGCTTTGATGCCTATGGTGGAAAAGGAAATATCCGCACATAAAAAGTAGACAGCAGCATTCTCAGAAACTTGTTTGTGTTGTGTGCATTCAACTCACAGAGTTGAGCTTTCCTTTGATTGAGCAGTTTTGAAAAAGTCTTTTTGCAGAATCTGCAAGTGGATATTTGGAGCGGTTTGAGGCCTATGGTGTAAAAGGAAATATCTTCACATAAAAACTAGACAGAAGCATTCTCTGAAACTTCTTTGTGATGTGTGAATTCAACTCACAGAGTTGAACCTTTCTTTTGTAGAGCAGTTTTGAAACTCTTTTTGTAGAATCTGTAAGTAGATATTTGGAGCGCTTTGAGGCTTATGGTGGAAAAGGAAATATCTTCACATAAAAACTAGACAGAAGCATTCTCAGAAACTTCTTTGTGATAAGTGCATTCAACTCACAGAGTCGAACCTTTCTGTTGAGAGAGCAGTTTTAAATCACTCTTTTTCTAGAATCTGAAAGTGGATATTTGGAGTGCTCTGAGGCCTATGGTGGAAAAGGAAATACCTACACATAAAAACTAGGCGGAAGCATTCTCAGAAATATCTTTGTGATGAGTGCATTCAACTCACAGAGTTGAACATTTATGTTGATAGAGGAGTTTTAAAACACTCTTTTTCAGGAATCTGAAAGTGGATATTTGGAGCGCTTTGAGGCCTATGGTGGAAAAGGAAACACATTCACAAAAAAAACTAGAGCAGAAGCATTCTCAGAAACTTCGTTGTGATGTGTGCATTCAACTCACAGTGTTGAACCTTTTTATTTGATAGAGCAGTTTTGAAACACTATTTTTGTACAATCTGCGGTTGGATATTTGGAGCGCTTTGATGCCTATGGTGGAAAACGAAATATCCGCACATAAAATCTAGACAGCAGCATTCTCAGAAACTTGTTTGTGTTGTGTGCATTCAACTCACAGAGTTGAACCTTTCCTTTGATTGAGCAGTTTTGAAAAAGTCTTTTTGTAGA
Source organism: Homo sapiens (assembly GCF_000001405.40). Taxonomy (NCBI): domain Eukaryota; kingdom Metazoa; phylum Chordata; class Mammalia; order Primates; family Hominidae; genus Homo; species Homo sapiens. The sequence continues at coordinate 29,986,142 of NC_000020.11, forward strand.
ATCCACAAGTGGATATTTGGAGCAGTTTGAGGCCTATGGTGTAACAGGAAATATCTTCACATAAAAACTAGACGGAAGCATTCTCAGAAACTTCTTTGTGTTGTGTGCATTCAACTCACAGAGTTGAACTTTTCCTATGATTGAGCAGTTTTGAAACACTCTTTCTGAAGAATCTGCAAGTGGATATTTGGAGCGCTTTGAAGCCTATGGTGGAAAAGGAAACACCTTCACAAAAAAACTAGAGCAGAAGCATTCTCAGAAACGTCTTTGTGATGTGTGCATTCAACTTACAGAGTTGAACCTTTCTTTGATAGAGCAGTTTTGAAACACTCTTTTTGTAGAATCTGCAGTTGGATATTTGGAGCGCTTTGATGCCTATGGTGGAAAAGGAAATATCCGCACATAAAAACTAGACAGCAGCATTCTCAGAAACTTTTTGTGTTGTGTGCATTCAACTCACAGAGTTGACCTTTCCTTTGATTGAGCAGTTTTGAAAAAGTCTTTTTGCAGAATCTGCAAGTGGATATTTGGAGCGGTTTGAGGCCTATGGTGTAAAAGGAAATATCTTCACATAAAAACTAGACAGAAGCATTCTCTGAAACTTCTTTGTGATGTGTGAATTCAACTCACAGAGTAGAACCTTTCTTTTGTAGAGCAGTTTTGAAACTCTTTTTGTAGAATCTGTAAGTAGATATTTGGAGCGCTTTGTGGCTTAATGTGGAAAAGGAAATATCTTCACATAAAAACTAGACAGAAGCATGCTCAGAAACTTCTTTGTGATAAGTGCATTCAACTCACAGAGTCGAACCTTTCTGGTGATAGACCAATTTTAAACCACTCTTTTTCTAGTATCTGAAAGTGGATATTTGGAGTGCTTTGTGGCCTATGGTGGAAAAGGAAATACCTACACATAAAAACTAGGCCGAAGCATTCTCAGAAATATCTTTGTGATGAGTGCATTCAACTCACAGAGTTGAACATTTATGTTGATAGAGGAGTTTTAAAACACTCTTTTTCAGGAATATGAAACTGGATATTTGGAGCGCTTTGAGGCCTATGGTGGAAAAGGAAACACCTTCACAAAAAAAACTAGAGCAGAAGCATTCTCAGAAACTTCTTTGTGATGTGTGCATTCAACTCACAGAGTTGAACCTTTTTATTTGATAGAGCAGTTTTGAAACACTATTTTTGTACAATCTGTGGTTGGATAATTGGAGCGCTTTGTTGCCTATGGTGGAAAACGAAATATCCGCACATAAAATCTAGACAGCAGCATTCTCAGAAACTTGTTTGTGTTGTGTGCATTCAGCTCACAGAGTTGAACCTTTCCTTTGATTGAGCAGTTTTGAAATAGTCTTTTTGTAGAATCCACAAGTGGAGATTTGGAACAGTTTGAGGCCTATGGTGTAAAAGGAAATATCTTCACATAAAAACTAGACAGAAGCATTCTCAGAAACTTCTTTGTGTTGTGTGCATTCAACTCACAGAGTTGAACTTTTCCTATGATTGAGCAGTTTTGAAACACTCTTTCTGAAGAATCTGCAAGTGGATATTTGGAGCGCTTTGAGGCCTATGGTGGAAAAGGAAACACCTTCACAAAAAAACTAGAGCAGAAGCATTCTCAGAAACGTCTTTGTGATGTGTGAATTCAACTCACAGAGTTGAACCTTTCTTTGATAGAGCAGTTTTGAAACACTCTTTTTGTAGAATCTGCAGTTGGATATTTGGAGCACTTTGATGCCTATGGTGGAAAAGGAAATATCCGCACATAAAAACTAGACAGCAGCATTCTCAGAAACTTGTTTGTGTTGTGTGCATTCAACTCACAGAGTTGACCTTTCCTTTGATTGAGCAGTTTTGAAAAAGTCTTTTTGCAGAATCTGCAAGTGGATATTTGGAGCGGTTTGAGGCCTATGGTGTAAAAGGAAATATCTTCACATAAAAACTAGACAGAAGCATTCTCTGAAACTTCTTTGTGATGTGTGAATTCAACTCACAGAGTTGAACCTTTCTTTTGTAGAGCAGTTTTGAAACTCTTTTTGTAGAATCTGTAAGTAGATATTTGGAGCGCTTTGAGGCTTATGGTGGAAAAGGAAATATCTTCACATAAAAACTAGACAGAAGCATTCTCAGAAACTTCTTTGTGATAAGTGCATTCAACTCACACAGTCGAACCTTTCTGTTGATAGAGCAGTTTTAAATCACTCTTTTTCTAGAATCTGAAAGTGGATATTTGGAGTGCTTTGAGGCCTATGGTGGAAAAGGAAATACCTACACATAAAAACTAGTCGGAAGCATTCTCAGAAATATCTTTGTGATGAGTGCATTCACCTCACAGAGTTGAACATTTATGTTGATAGAGGAGTTTTAAAACACACTTTTTCGGGAATATGAAAGTGGATATTTGGAGCGCTTTGAGGCCTATGGTGGAAAAGGAAACACCTTCACAAAAAAAACTAGAGCAGAAGCATCCTCAGGAACTTCTTTGTGATGTGTGCATTCAACTCACAGAGTTGAACCTTTTTTTTGGATAGAGCAGTTTTGAAACACTATTTTTGTACAATCTGCGGTTGGATATTTGGAGCGCTTTGATGCCTATGGTGGAAAACGAAATATCCGCATATAAAATCTAGACAGCAGCATTCTCAGAAACTTGTTTGTGTTGTGTGCATTCAGCTCACAGAGTTGAACCTTTCCTTTGATTGAGCAGTTTTGAAATAGTCTTTTTGTAGAATCCACAAGTGGATATTTGGAGCAGTTTGAGGCCTATGGTGTAAAAGGAAATATCTTCACATAAAAACTAGACAGAAGCATTCTCAGAAACTTCTTTGTGTTGTGTGCATTCAACTCACAGAGTTGAACTTTTCCTATGATTGAGCAGTTTTGAAACACTCTTTCTGAAGAATCTGCAAGTGGATATTTGGAGCGCTTTGAGGCCTATGGTGGAAAAGGAAACACCTTCACAAAAAAACTAGAGCAGAAGCATTCTCAGAAACGTCTTTGTGATGTGTGCATTCAACTCACAGAGTTGAACCTTTCTTTGATAGAGCAGTTTTGAAACACTCTTTTTGTAGAATCTGCAGTTGGATATTTGGAGCGCTTTGATGCATATGGTGGAAAAGGAAATATCCGCCCATAAAAACTAGACAGCAGCATTCTCAGAAACTTGTTTGTGTTGTGTGCATTCAACTCACAGAGTTGACCTTTCCTTTGATTGAGCAGTTTTGAAAAAGGCTTTTTGCAGAATCTGCAAGTGGATATTTGGAGCGGTTTGAGGCCTATGGTGTAAAAGGAAATATCTTCACATAAAAACTAGACAGAAGCATTCTCTGAAACTTCTTTGTGATGTGTGAATTCAACTCGCAGCGTTGAACCTTTCTTTTGTAGAGCAGTTTTGAAACTCTTTTTGTAGAATCTGTAAGTAGATATTTGGAGCGCTTTGAGGCTTATGGTGGAAAAGGAAATATCTTCACATAAAAACTAGACAGAAGCATTCTCAGAAACTTCTTTGTGATAAGTGCATTCAACTCACAGAGTCGAACCTTTCTGTTGAGAGAGCAGTTTTAAATCACTCTTTTTCTAGAATCTGAAAGTGGATATTTGGAGTGCTCTGAGGCCTATGGTGGAAAAGGAAATACCTACACATAAAAACTAGGCGGAAGCATTCTCAGAAATATCTTTGTGATGAGTGCATTCAACTCACAGAGTTGAACATTTATGTTCATAGAGGAGTTTTAAAACACTCTTTTTCAGGAATCTGAAAGTGGATATTTGGAGCGCTTTGAGGCCTATGGTGGAAAAGGAAACACCTACACAAAAAAAACTAGAGCAGAAGCATTCTCAGAAACGTCTTTGTGATGTGTGCATTCAACTCACAGAGTTGAACCTTTTTTTTTGATAGAGCAGTTTTGAAACACTATTTTTGTACAATCTGCGGTTGGATATTTGGAGCGCTTTGATGCCTATGGTGGAAAACGAAATATCCGCACATAAAATCTAGACAGCAGCATTCTCAGAAACTTGTTTGTGTTGTGTGCATTCAACTCACAGAGTTGAACCTTTCCTTTGATTGAGCAGTTTTGAAAAAGTCTTTTTGTAGAATCTACAAGTGGATATTTGAAGCACATTGAAGCCTATGATGGAAAAGGAAATATCTTCACATACAAACTAGACAGAAGCATTCTCAGAAACTTCTTTGTGTTGTGTGCATTCAACTCACAGAGTTGAACTTTTCCTATGATTGGGCAGTTTTGAAACACTCTTTCTGAAGAATCTGCAAGTGGATATTTGGAGCGCTTTGAGGCCTATGGTGGAAAAGGAAACACCTTCACAAAAAAACCAGAGCAGAAGCATTCTCAGAAACGTCTTTATGATGTGTGCATTCAACTCACAGAGTTGAAACTTTCTTTGATAGAGCAGTTTTGAAACACTCTTATTGTAGAATCTGCAGTTGGATATTTTGAGCGCTTTGATGCCTATGGTAGAAAAGGAAATATCCGCACATAAAATCTAGACAGCAGCATTCTCAGAAACTTGTTTGTGTTGTGTGCATTCAACTCACAGAGTTGACCTTTCCTTTGATTGAGCAGTTTTGAAAAAGTCTTTTTGCAGAATCTGCAAGTTGATATTTGGAGCGGTTTGAGGCCTATGGTGTAAAAGGAAATATCTTCACATAAAAACTAGACAGAAGCATTCTCTGAAACTTCTTTGTGATGTGTGAATTCAACTCACAGAGTTGAACCTTTCTTTTGTAGAGCAGTTTTGAAACTCTTTTTGTAGAATCTGTAAGTAGATATTTGGAGCGCTTTGAGGCTTATGGTGGAAAAGGAAATATCTTCACATAAAAACTAGACAGAAGCATTCTCAGAAACTTCTTTGTGATAAGTGCATTCAACTCACAGAATCGAACCTTTCTGTTGATAGAGCAGTTTTAAATCCCTCTTTTTCAAGAATCTGAAAGTGGATATTTGGAGTGCTTTGAGGCCTATGGAGGAAAAGGAAATACCTACACATAAAAACTAGGCGGAAGCATTCTCAGAAATATCTTTGTGATGAGTGCATTCAACTCACAGAGTTGAACATTTATGTTGATAGAGGAGTTTTAAAACACTCTTTTTCAGGAATCTGCAAGTGGATATTTGGAGCGGTTTGAGGCCTATGGTGTAAAAGGAAATATCTTCACGTAAAAACTAGACAGAAGCATTCTCTGAAACTTCTTTGTGATGTGTGCGTTCAACTCACAGAGTTGCACCTTTTTTTTTGATAGAGCAGTTTTGAAACACTATTTTTGTACAATCTGCGGTTGGATATTTGGAGCGCTTTGATGCCTATGGTGGAAAATGAAATATCCGCACATAAAATCTAGACAGCAGCATTCTCAGAAACTTGTTTGTGTTGTGTGCATTCAGCTCACAGAGTTGAACCTTTCCTTTGATTGAGCAGTTTTGAAATAGTCTTTTTGTAGGATCCACAAGTGGATATTTGGAGCAGTTTGAGGCCTATGGTGTAAAAGGAAATATCTTCACATAAAAACTAGACAGAAGCATTCTCAGAAACTTCTTTGTGTTGTGTGCATTCAACTCACAAAGTTGAACTTTTCCTATGATTGAGCAGTTTTGAAACACTCTTTCTGAAGAATCTGCAAGTGGATATTTGGAGTGCTTTGAGGTCTATGGTGGAAAAGCAAACACCTTCACAAAAAAAACTAGAGCAGAAGAATTCTCAGAAACGTCTTTGTGATGTGTGCATTCAACTCACAGAGTTGAACCTTTCTTTGATAGAGCAGTTTTGAAACACTCTTTTTCTAGAATCTGCAGTTGGATATTTGGAGCGCTTTGATGCCTATGGTGGAAAAGGAAATATCCGCACATAAAAACTAGACAGCAGCATTCTCAGAAACTTGTTTGTGTTGTGTGCATTCAACTCACAGAGTTGACCTTTCCTTTGATTGAGCAGTTTTGAAAAAGTCTTTTTGCAGAATCTGCAAGTGGATATTTGGAGCGGTTTGAGGCCTATGGTGTAAAAGGAAATATCTTCACATAAAAACTAGACAGAAGCATTCTCTGAAACTTCTTTGTGATGTGTGAATTCAACCTCACAGAGTTGAACCTTTCTTTTGTAGAGCAGTTTTGAAACTCTTTTTGTAGAATGTGTAAGTAGATATTTGGAGCGCTTTGAGGCTTATGGTGGAAAAGGAAATATCTTCACATAAAAACTAGACAGAAGCATTCTCAGAAACTTCCTTGTGATAAGTGCATTCAACTCACAGAGTGGAACCTTTCTGTTGATAGAGCAGTTTTAAATCACTCTTTTTCTAGAATCTGAAAGTGGATATTTGGAGTGCTTTGAGGCCTATGGTGGAAAAGGAAATACCTACACATAAAAACTAAGCGGAAGCATTCTCAGAAATATCTTTGTGATGAGTGCATTCAACTCACAGAGTTGAACACTTATGTTGATAGAGGAGTTTTAAAACACTCTTTTTCAGGAATCTGAAAGTGGATATTTGGAGCGCTTTGAGGCCTATGGTGGAAAAGGAAACACCTTCACAAAAAAAACTAGAGCAGAAGCATTCTCAGAAACTTCTTTGTGATGTGTGCATTCAACTCACAGAGTTGAACCTTTTTTTTTCATAGAGCAGTTTTGAAACACTATTTTTGTACAATCTGCGGTTGGATATTTGTAGCGCTTTGATGCCTATGGTGGAAAACGAAATATCCGCACATAAAATCTAGACAGCAGCATTCTCAGAAACTTGTTTGTGTTGTGTGCATTCAACTCACAGAGTTGAACCTTTCCTTTGATTGAGCAGTTTTGAAAAAGTCTTTTTGTAGAATCCACAAGTGGATATTTGGAGCAGTTTGAGGCCTATGGTGTAACAGGAAATATCTTCACATAAAAACTAGACGGAAGCATTCTCAGAAACTTCTTTGTGTTGTGTGCATTGAACTCACAGAGTTGAACGTTTCCTATGATTGAGCAGTTTTGAAACACTCTTTCTGAAGAATCTGCAAGTGGATATTTGGAGCGCTTTGAGGCCTACGGTGGAAAAGGAAACACCTTCACAAAAAAACTAGAGCAGAAGCATTCTCAGAAACGTCTTTGTGATGTGTGCATTCAACTCACAGAGTTGAACCTTTCTTTGATAGAGCAGTTTTGAAACACTCTTTTTGTAGAATCTGCAGTTGGATATTTGGAGCGCTTTGATGCCTATGGTGGAAAAGGAAATATCCGCACATAAAAAGTAGACAGCAGCATTCTCAGAAACTTGTTTGTGTTGTGTGCATTCAACTCACAGAGTTGACCTTTCCTTTGATTGAGCAGTTTTGAAAAAGTCTTTTTGCAGAATCTGCAAGTGGATATTTGGAGCGGTTTGAGGCCTATGGTGTAAAAGGAAATATCTTCACATAAAAACTAGACAGAAGCATTCTCTGAAACTTCTTTGTGATGTGTGAATTCAACTCGCAGAGTTGAACCTTTCTTTTGTAGAGCAGTTTTGAAACTCTTTTTGTAGAATCTGTAAGTAGATATTTGGAGCGCTTTGAGGCTTATGGTGGAAAAGGAAATATCTTCACATAAAAACTAGACAGAAGCATTCTCAGAAACTTCTTTGTGATAAGTGCATTCAACTCACAGAGTCGAACCTTTCTGTTGATAGAGCAGTTTAAAATCACTCTTTTTCTAACATCTGAAAGTGGATATTTGGAGTGCTTTGTGGCCTATGGTGGAAAAGGAAATACCTACACATAAAAACTAGGCCGAAGCATTCTCAGAAATATCTTTGTGATGAGTGCATTCAACTCACAGAGTTGAACATTTATGTTGATAGAGGAGTTTTAAAACACTCTTTTTCAGGAATCTGAAAGTGGATATTTGGAGCGCTTTGAGGCCTATGGTGGAAAAGGAAACACCTTCACAAAAAAAACTAGAGCAGAAGCATTCTCAGAAACTTCTTTGTAATGTGTGCATTCAACTCACAGAGTTGAACCTTTTTTTTTGATAGAGCAGTTTTGAAACACTATTTTTGTACAATCTGCAGTTGGATATTTGGAGCGCTTTCATGCCTATGGTGGAAAACGAAATATCCGCACATAAAATCTAGACAGCAGCATTCTCAGTAAACTTGTTTGTGTTGTGTGCATTCAACTCACAGAGTTGAACCTTTCCTTTGATTGAGCAGTTTTGAAAAAGTCTTTTTGTAGAATCCACAAGTGGATATTTGGAGCAGTTTGAGGCCTATGGTGTAACAGGAAATATCTTCACATAAAAACTAGACGGAAGCATTCTCAGAAACTTCTTTGTATTGTGTGCATTCAACTCACAAAGTTGAACTTTTCCTATGGTTGAGCAGTTTTGAAACACTCTTTCTGAAGAATCTGCAAGTGGATATTTGGAGTGCTTTGAGGTCTATGGTGGAAAAGAAAACACCTTCACAAAAAAATTAGAGCAGAAGCATTCTCAGAAACTTCTTTGTGATGTGTGCATTCAACTCACAGAGTTGAACCTTTCTTTGATAGAGCAGTTTTGAAACACTCTTTTTGTTTCTGCAATTGGATATTTGGAGCTCTTTGATGCCTATGGTGGAAAAGGAAATATCCACACATAAAAACTAGACAGCAGCATTCTCAGAAACTTGTTTGTGTTGTGTGCATTCAACTCACAGAGTTGACCTTTCCTTTGATTGAGCAGTTTTGAAAAAGTCTTTTTGCAGAATCTGCAAGTTGATATTTGGAGCGGTTTGATGCCTATTGTGTAAAAGGAAATATCTTCACATAAAAACTAGACAGAAGCATTCTCTGAAACTTCTTTGTGATGTGTGAATTCAACTCACGGAGTTGAACCTTTCTTTTGTAGAGCAGTTTTGAAACTCTTTTTGTAGAATCTGTAAATAGATATTTGGAGCGCTTTGAGGCTTATGGTGGAAAAGGAAATATCTTCACATAAAAACTAGACAGAAGCATTCTCAGAAACTTCTTTGTGATAAGTGCATTCAACTCACAGAGTCGAACCTTTCTGTTGATAGAGCAGTTTTAAATCACACTTTTTCTAGAATCTGAAAGTGGATATTTGGAGTGCTCTGAGGCCTATGGTGGAAAAGGAAATACCTACACATAAAAACTAGGCGGAAGCATTCTCAGAAATATCTTTGTGATGAGTGCATTCAACTCACAGAGTTGAACATTTATGTTGATAGAGGAGTTTTAAAACACTCTTTTTCGGGAATCTGAAAGTGGATATTTGGAGCGCTTTGAGGCCTATGGTGGAAAAGGAAACACCTTCACAAAAAAAACTAGAGCAGAAGCATTCTCAGGAACTTCTTTGTGATGTGTGCATTCAACTCACAGAGTTGAACCTTTTTTTTTGATAGAGCAGTTTTGAAACACTATTTTTGTACAATCTGCGGTTGGATATTAGGGGCGCTTTGATGCCTATGGTGGAAAACGAAATATCCGCACATAAAATCTAGACAGCAGCATTCTCAGAAACTTGTTTGTGTTGTGTGCATTCAACTCACAGAGTTGAACCTTTCCTTTGATTGAGCAGTTTTGAAAAAGTCTTTTTGTAGAATCCACAAGTGGATATTTGGAGCAGTTTGAGGCCTATGGTGTAAAAGGAAATATCTTCACATAAAAACTAGACAGAAGCATTCTCAGAAACTTCTTTGTGTTGTGTGCATTCAACTCACAGAGTTGAACTTTTCCTATGATTTAGCAGTTTTGAAACACTCTTTCTGAAGAATCTGCAAGTGGATATTTGGAGCGCTTTGAGGCCTATGGTGGAAAAGGAAACACCTTCACAAAAAAACAAGAGCAGAAGCATTCTCAGAAAAGTCTTTGTGATGTGTGCATTCAACTCACAGAGTTGAACCTTTCTTTGATAGAGCAGTTTTGAAACACTCTTTTTGTAGAATCTGCAGTTGGATATTTGGAGCGCTTTGATGCCTATGGTGGAAAAGGAAATATCCGCACATAAAAACAAGACAGCCAGCATTCTCAGAAACTTGTTTGTGTTGTGTGCATTCAACTCACAGAGTTGACCTTTCCTTTGATTGAGCAGTTTTGAAAAAGTCTTTTTGCAGAATCTGCAAGTTGATATTTGGAGCGGTTTGAGGCCTATGGTGTAAAAGGAAATATCTTCACATAAAAACTAGACAGAGAATTCTCAGAAACTTCTTTGTGATGTGTGCATTCAACTCACAGATTTGATCCTTTCTTTTGATAGAGCAGTTTTGAAACACTCTTTTTGTAGAATCTGAAAGTGGATATTTGGAGAGCTTTGAGGCCTAGGGTGGAAAAGGAAATATCTACACATAAAAACTAGACAGACAGAAGCATTCTCTGAAACTTCTTTGTGATAAGTGCATTCAACCCACAGAGTAGAACCTTTCTGTTGATAGAACAGTTTTAAATCACTCTTTTTCTAGAATCTGAAAGTGGATATTTGGAGTGCTTTGAGGCCTATGGTGGAAAAGGAAATACCTACACATAAAAACTAGGCGGAAGCATTCTCAGAAATATCTTTGTGATGAGTGCATTCAACTCACAGAGTTGAACATTTATGTTGATAGAGGAGTTTTAAAACACTCTTTTTCAGGAATCTGAAAGTGGATATTTGGAGCGCTTTGAGGCCTATGGTGGAAAAGGAAACACCATCACAAAAAAAAACTAGAGCAGAAGCATTCTCAGAAACTTCTTTGTGATGTGTGCATTCAACTCACAGAGTTGAACCTTTTTTTTTCATAGAGCAGTTTTGAAACACTATTTTTGTACAATCTGCGGTTGGATATTTGGAGCGCTTTGATGCCTATGGTGGAAAACGAAATATCCGCACATAAAATCTAGACAGCAGCATTCTCAGAAACTTGTTTGTGTTGTGTGCATTCAACTCACAGAGTTGAACCTTTCCTTTGATTGAGCAGTTTTGAAAAAGTCTTTTTGTAGAATCCACAAGTGGATATTTGGAGCAGTTTGAGGCCTATGGTGTAAAAGGAAATATCTTCACATAAAAACTAGACAGAAACATTCTCAGAAACTTCTTTGTGTTGTGTGCATTCAACTCACAGAGTTGAACTTTTCCTATGATTGAGCAGTTTTGAAACACTCTTTCTGAAGAATCTGCAAGTGGATAATTGGAGCGCTTTGAGGCATATGGTGGAAAAGGAAACACCTTCACAAAAAAACTAGAGAAGAAGCATTCTCAGAAACGTCTTTGTGATGTGTGCATTCAACTCACAGAGTTGAACCTTTCTTTGATAGAGCAGTTTTGAAACACTCTTTTTGTAGAATCTGCAGTTGGATATTTGGAGCGCTTTGATGCCTATGGTGGTAAAGGAAATGTCCGCCCATAAAAACTAGACAGCAGCATGCTCAGAAACTTGTTTGTGTTGTGTGCATTCAACTCACAGAGTTGACCTTTCCTTTGATTGAGCAGTTTTGAAAAAGTCTTTTTGTAGAATCTGCAAGTGGACATTTGGAGCGGTTTAAGGCCTATGGTGTAAAAGGAAATATCTTCACATAAAGACTAGACAGAAGCATTCTCTGAAACTTCTTTGTGATGTGTGAATTCAACTCGCAGAGTTGAACCTTTCTTTTGTAGAGCAGTTTTGAAACTCTTTTTGTAGAATCTGTAAGTAGATATTTGGAGCGCTTTGAGTCTTATGGTGGAAAAGGAAATATCTTCACATAAAATGCTAGACAGAAGCATTCTCAGAAAGTTCTTTGTGATAAGTGCATTCAACTCACAGAGTCGAACCTTTCTGTTGATAGAGCAGTTTTAAATCACTCTTTTTCTAGAATCTGAAAGTGGATATTTGGAGTGCTTTGAGGTCTATGGTGGAAAAGGAAATACCTACACATAAAAACTAGGCGGAAGCATTCTCAGAAATATCTTTGTGATGAGTGCATTCAACACAAAGAGTTGAACATTTATGTTGATAGAGGAGTTTTAAAACACTCTTTTTCTGGAATCTGAAAGTGGATATTTGTAGCGCTTTGAGGCCTATGGTGGAAAAGGAAACACCTTCACAAAAAAAACTAGAGCAGAAGCATTCTCAGAAAGTTCTTTGTGATGTGTGCATTCAACTCACAGAGTTGAATCTTTTTTTTTGATAGAGCAGTTTTGAAACACTATTTTTGTACAATCTGCAGTTGGATATTTGGAGCGCTTTGATGCCTATGGTGGAAAACGAAATATCCGCACATAAAATCTAGACAGCAGCATTCTCAGAAACTTGTTTGTGTTGTGTGCATTCAACTCACAGAGTTGAACCTTTCCTTTGATTGAGCAGTTTTGAAAAAGTCTTTTTGTAGAATCCACAAGTGGATATTTGGAGCAGTTTGAGGCCTATGGTGTAAAAGGAAATATCTTCACATAAAAACTAGACAGAAGCATTCTCAGAAACTTCTTTGTGTTGTGTGCATTCAACTCACAGAGTTGAACTTTTCCTATGATTGAGCAGTTTTGAAACACTCTTTCTGAAGTATCTGCAGGTGGATATTTGGAGCGCTTTGAGGCCTATGGTGGAAAAGGAAACACCTTCACAAAAAAACTAGAGCAGAAGCATTCTCAGAAACGTCTTTGTGATGTGTGCATTCAACTCACAGAGTTGAACCTTTCTTTGATAGAGCAGTTTTGAAACACTCTTTTTGTAGAATCTGCAGTTGGATATTTGGAGCGCTTTGATGCATATGGTGGAAAAGGAAATATCCGCCCATAAAAACTAGACAGCAGCATTCTCAGAAACTTGTTTGTGTTGTGTGCATTCAACTCACAGAGTTGAGCTTTCCTTTGATTGAGCAGTTTTGAAAATGTCTTTTTGCAGAATCTGCAAGTGGATATTTGGAGCGGTTTGAGGCCTATGGTGTAAAAGGAAATACCTTCACATAAAAACTAGACAGAAGCATTCTCTGAAACTTCTTTGTGATGTGTGAATTCAACTCACAGAGTTGAACCTTTCTTTTGTAGAGCAGTTTTGAAACTCTTTTTGTAGAATCTGTAAGTAGATATTTGGAGCGCTTTGAGGCTTATGGTGGAAAAGGAAATATCTTCACATAAAAACTAGACAGAAGCATTCTCAGAAATTTCTTTGTGATAAGTGCATTCAACCCACAGAGTAGAACCTTTCTGTTGATAGAGCAGTTTTAAATCACTCTTTTTCTAGAATCTGAAAGTGGATATTTGGAGTGCTTTGAGGCCTATGGTGGAAAAGGAAATACCTACACATAAAAACTAGGCGGAAGCATTCTCAGAAGTATCTTTGTGATGAGTGCATTCAACTCACAGAGTTGAACACTTATGTTGATAGAGGAGTTTTAAAACACTCTTTTTCAGGAATCTGAAAGTGGATATTTGGAGCACTTTGAGGCCTATGGTGGAAAAGGAAACACCATCACAAAAAAAACTAGAGCAGAAGCATTCTCAGAAACTTCTTTGTGATGTGTGCATTCAACTCACAGAGTTGAACCTTTTTTTTTGAAAGAGCAGTTTTGAAACACTATTTTTGTACAATCTGCGGTTGGATATTTGGAGCGCTTTGATGCCTATGGTGGAAAACGAAATATCCGCACATAAAATCTAGACAGCAGCATTCTCAGAAACTTGTTTGTGTTGTGTGCATTGAACTCACAGAGTTGAACCTTTCCTTTGATTGAGCAGTTTTGAAAAAGTCTTTTTGTAGAATCCACAAGTGGATATTTGGAGCAGTTTGAGGCCTATGGTGTAAAAGGAAATATCTTCACATAAAAACTAGACAGAAGCATTCTCAGAAACTTGTTTGTGTTGTGTGCATTCAACTCACAGAGTTGAACTTTTCCTATGATTGAGCAGTTTTGAAACACTCTTTCTGAAGAATCTGCAAGTGGATATTTGGAGCGCTTTGAGGCCTATGGTGGAAAAGGAAACACCTTCACAAAAAAACTAGAGCAGAAGCATTCTCAGAAACGTCTTTGTGATGTGTGCATTCAACTCACAGAGTTGAACCTTTCTTTGATAGAGCAGTTTTGAAACACTCTTTTTGTAGAATCTGCAGTTGGATATTTGGAGCGCTTTGATGCCTATGGTGGAAAAGGAAATATCCGCACATAAAAACTAGACAGCAGCATTCTCAGAAACTTGTTTGTGTTGTGTGCATTCAACTCACAGAGTTGAGCTTTCCTTTGATTGAGCAGTTTTGAAAAAGTCTTTTTGCAAAATCTGCAAGTGGATATTTGGGGCGGTTTGAGGCCTATGGTGTAAAAGGAAATATCTTCACATAAAAACTAGACAGAAGCATTCTCTGAAACTTCTTTGTGATGTGTGAATTCAACTCACAGAGTTGAACCTTTCTTTTGTAGAGCAGTTTTGAAACTCTTTTTGTAGAATCTGTAAGTAGATATTTGGAGCGCTTTGAGGCTTATGGTGGAAAACGAAATATCTTCACATAAAAACTAGACAGAAGCATTCTCAGAAACTTCTTTGTGATAAGTGCATTCAACTCACAGAGTCGAACCTTTCTGTTGATAGAGCAGTTTTAAATCACTCTTTTTCTAGAATCTGAAAGTGGATATTTGGAGTGCTCTGAGGCCTATGGTGGAAAAGGAAATACCTACACATAAAAACTAGGCGGAAGCATTCTCAGAAATATCTTTGTGATGAGTGCATTCAACTCACAGAGTTGAACATTTATGCTGATAGAGGAGTTTTAAAACACTCTTTTTCAGGAATCTGAAACTGGATATTTGGAGCGCTTTGAGGCCTGTGGTGAAAAAGGAAACACCTTCACAAAAAAAACTAGAGCAGAAGCATTCTCAGAAACTTCTTTGTGATGTGTGCATTCAACTCACAGAGTTGAACCTTTTTTTTTGATAGAGCAGTTTTCAAACACTATTTTTGTACAATCTGCGGTTGGATATTTGGAGCGCTTTGATGCCTATGGTGGAAAACGAAATGTCCGGACATAAAATCTAGACAGCAGCATTCTCAGAAACTTGTTTGTGTTGTGTGCATTCAGCTCACAGAGTTGAACCTTTCCTTTGATTGAGCAGTTTTGAAGAAGACTTTTTGTAGAATCCACAAGTGGATATTTGGAGCTGTTTGAGGCCTATGGTGTAAAAGGAAATATCTTCACATAAAAACTAGACAGAAGCATTCTCAGAAACTTCTTTGTGTTGTGTGCATTCAACTCACAGAGTTGAACTTTTCCTATGATTGAGCAGTTTTGAAACACTCTTTCTGAAGAATCTGCAAGTGGATATTTGGAGCGCTTTGAGGCCTATGGTGGAAAAGGAAACACCTTCACAAAAAAACTAGAGCAGAAGCATTCTCAGAAACGTCTTTGTGATGTGTGCATTCAACTCACAGAGTTGAACCTTTCTTTGATAGAGCAGTTTTGAAACACTCTTTTTGTAGAATCTGCAGTTGGATATTTGGAGCGCTTTGATGCCTGTGGTGGAAAAGGAAATATCCGCCCATAAAAACTAGACAGCAGCATTCTCAGAAACTTGTTTGTGTTGTGTGCATTCAACTCACAGAGTTGAGCTTTCCTTTGATTGAGCAGTTTTGAAAAAGTCTTTTTGCAGAATCTGCAAGTGGATATTTGGAGCGGTTTGAGGCCTATGGTGTAAAAGGAAATATCTTCACATAAAAACTAGACAGAAGCATTCTCTGAAACTTCTTTGTGATGTGTGAATTCAACTCACAGAGTTGAACCTTTCTTTTGTAGAGCAGTTTTGAAACTCTTTGTGCAGAATCTGTAAGTAGATATTTGGAGCGCTTTGAGGCTTCTGGTGGAAAAGGAAATATCTTCACATAAAAACTAGACAGAAGCATTCTCAGAAACTTCTTTGTGATAAGTGCATTCAACCCACAGAGTTGAGCCTTTCTTTTGATAGAGCAGTTTTAAAACACTCTTTTTCTAGAATCTGAAAGTGGATATTTGGAGCGCTTTGAGGCCTATGGAGGAAAAGGAAATATCTTCACATAAAAACTAGATGGAAGCATTCTCAGAAATATCTTTGTGATGAGTGCATTCACCTCACAGAGTTGAACATTTATGTTGATAGAGGAGTTTTAAAACACACTTTTTCGGGAATATGAAAGTGGATATTTGGAGCGCTTTGAGGCCTATGGTGGAAAAGGAAACACCTTCACAAAAAAAACTAGAGCAGAAGCATTCTCAGAAACTTCTTTGTGATGTGTGCATTCAACTCACAGAGTTGAAACTTTTTTTTTGATAGAGCAGTCTTGAAACACTATTTTTGTACAATCTGCGGTTGGATAATTGGAGCGCTTTGTTGCCGATGGTGGAAAACGAAATATCCGCACATAAAATCTAGACAGCAGCATTCTCAGAAACTTGTTTGTGTTGTGTGCATTCAACTCACAGAGTTGAACCTTTCCTTTGATTGAGCAGTTTTGAAAAAGTCTTTTTGAAGAATCCACAAGTGGATATTTGGAGCAGTTTGAGGCCTATGGTGTAAAAGGAAATATCTTCACATAAAAACTAGACAGAAGCATTCTCAGAAACTTCTTTGTGTTGTGTGCATTCAACTCACAAAGTTGAACTTTTCCTATGATTGAGCAGTTTTGAAACACTCTTTCTGAAGAATCTGCAAGTGGATATTTGGAGTGCTTTGAGGTCTATGGTGGAAAAGCAAACACCTTCACAAAAAAAACTAGAGCAGAAGCAATCTCAGAAACGTCTTTGTGATGTGTGCATTCAACTCACAGAGTTGAACCTTTCTTTGATAGAGCAGTTTTGAAACACTCTTTTTGTGGAATCTGCAGTTGGATAATTGGAGCGCTTTGATGCCTATGGTGGAAAAGGAAATATCCGCCCATAAAAACTAGACAGCAGCATTCTCAGAAACTTGTTTGTGTTGTGTGCATTCAACTCACAGAGTTCACCTTTCCTTTGATTGAGCAGTTTTGAAAAAGTCTTTTTGCAGAATCTGCAAGTGGATATTTGGAGCGGTTTGAGGCCTATGGTGTAAAAGGAAATATCTTCACGTAAAAACTAGACAGAAGCATTCTCTGAAACTTCTTTGTGATGTGTGAATTCAACTCGCAGAGTTGAACCTTTCTTTTGTAGAGCAGTTTTGAAACTCTTTTTGTAGAATCTGTAAGTAGATATTTGGAGCGCTTTGAGGCTTATGGTGGAAAAGGGAATATCTTCACATAAATACTAGACAGAAGCATTCTCAGGAACTTCTTTGTGATAAGTGCATTCAACTCACAGAGTCGAACCTTTCTGTTGATAGAGCAGTTTTAAATCACTCTTTTTCTAGAATCTGAAAGTGGATATTTGGAGTGCTTTGAGGCCTATGGTGGAAAAGGAAATACCTACACATAAAAACTAGGCGGAAGCATTCTCAGAAATATCTTTGTGATGAGTGCATTCAACTCACAGAGTTGAACATTTATGTTGATAGAGGAGTTTTAAAACACTCTTTTTCAGGAATCTGCAAGTGGATATTTGGAGCGGTTTGAGGCCTATGGTGTAAAAGGAAATATCTTCACGTAAAAACTAGACAGAAGCATTCTCAGAAACTTCGTTGTGATGTGTGCATTCAACTCACAGAGTTGAACCTTTTTATTTGATAGAGAAGTTTTGAAACACTATTTTTGTACAATCTGGGGTTGGATATTTGGAGCGCTTTGATGCCTATGGTGGAAAACGAAATATCCGCACATGAAATCTAGACAGCAGCATTCTCAGAAACTTGTTTGTGTTGTGTGCATTCAGCTCACAGAGTTGAACCTTTCCTTTGATTGAGCAGTTTTGAAATAGTCTTTTTGTAGGATCCACAAGTGGATATTTGGAGCAGTTTGAGGCCTATGGTGTAAAAGGAAATATCTTCACATAAAAACTAGACAGAAACATTCTCAGAAACTTGTTTGTGTTGTGTGCATTCAACTCACAGAGTTGAACTTTTCCTATGATTGAGCAGTTTTGAAACACTCTTTCTGAAGAATCTGCAAGTGGATATTTGGAGCGCTTTGAGGCCTATGGTGGAAAAGGAAACACCTTCACAAAAAAACTAGAGCAGAAGCATTCTCAGAAACGTCTTTGTGATGTGTGCATTCAACTCACAGAGTTGAACCTTTCTTTGATAGAGCAGTTTTGAAACACTCTTTTTGTAGAATCTGCAGTTGGATATTTGGAGCGCTTTGATGCCTATGGTGGAAAAGGAAATATCCGGCCATAAAAACTAGACAGCAGCATTCTCACAAACTTGTTTGTGTTCTGTGCATTCAACTCACAGAGTTGAGCTTTCCTTTGATTGAGCAGTTTTGAAAAAGTCTTTTTGCAGAATCTGCAAGTGGATATTTGGAGCGGTTTGAGGCCTATGGTGTAAAAGGAAATATCTTCACATAAAAACTAGACAGAAGCATTCTCTGAAACTTCTTTGTGATGTGTGAATCCAACTCACGGAGTTGAACCTTTCTTTTGTAGAGCAGTTTTGAAACTCTTTTTGTAGAATCTGTAAGTAGATATTTGGAGCGCTTTGAGGCTTATGGTGGAAAAGGAAATATCTTCACATAAAAACTAGACAGAAGAATTCTCAGAAACATCTTTGTGATAAGTGCATTCAACTCACAGAGTCGAACCTTTCTGTTGATAGAGCAGTTTTAAATCACTCTTTTTCTAGAATCTGAAAGTGGATATTTGGAGTGCTTTGAGGCCTATGGTGGAAAAGGAAATACCTACACATAAAAACTAGGTGGAAGCATTCTCAGAAGTACCTTTGTGATGAGTGCATTCAACTCACAGAGTTGAAAACTTATGTTGATAGAGGAGTTTTAAAACATTCTTTTTCAGGAATCTGAAAGTGGATATTTGGAGCGCTTTGAGGCCTATGGTGGAAAAGGAAACACCTTCACAAAAAAAACTAGAGCAGAAGCATTCTCAGAAACTTCGTTGTGATGTGTGCATTCAACTCACAGAGTTGAACCTTTTTATTTGATAGAGCTGTTTTGAAACACTATTTTTGTACAATCTGCGGTTGGATATTTGGAGCGCTTTGATGCCTATGGTGGAAAACGAAATATCCGCACATGAAATCTAGACAGCAGCATTCTCAGAAACTTGTTTGTGTTGTGTGCATTCAACTCACAGAGTTGAACCTTTCCTTTGATTGAGCACTTTTGAAAAAGTCTTTTTGTAGAATCCACAAGTGGATATTTGGAGCAGTTTGAGGCCTATGGTGTAAAAGGAAATATCTTCACATAAAAACTAGACAGAAGCATTCTCAGAAACTTCTTTGTGTTGTGTGCATTCAACTCACAGAGTTGAACTTTTCCTATGATTGAGCAGTTTTGAAACACTCTTTCTGAAGAATCTGCAAGTGGATATTTGGAGCGCTTTGAGGCCTATGGTGGAAAAGGAAACACCTTCACAAAAAAACTAGAGCAGAAGAATTCTCAGAAACGTCTTTGTGATGTGTGCATTCAACTCACAGAGTTGAACCTCTCTTTGATAGAGCAGTTTTGAAACACTCTTTTTGTAGAATCTGCAGTTGGATATTTGGAGCGCTTTGATGCCTATGGTGGAAAAGGAAATATCCGCACATAAAAACTAGACAGCAGCATTCTCAGAAACTTGTTTGTGTTCTGTGCATTCAACTCACAGAGTTGAGCTTTCCTTTGATTGAGCAGTTTTGAAAAAGTCTTTTTGCAGAATCTGCAAGTGGATATTTGGAGCGGTTTGAGGCCTGTGGTGTAAAAGGAAATATCTTCACATAAAAACTAGACAGAAGCATTCTCTGAAACTTCTTTGTGATGTGTGAATTCAACTCACAGAGTTGAACCTTTCTTTTGTAGAGCAGTTTTGAAACTCTTTTTGTAGAATCTGTAAGTAGATATTTGGAGCGCTTTGAGGCTTATGGTGGAAAAGGAAATATCTTCACATAAAAACTAGACAGAAGCATTCTCAGAAACTTCTTTGTGATCAGTGCATTCAACTCACAGAGTCGAACCTTTCTGTTGATGGAGCAGTTTTAAATCACTCTTTTTCTAGAATCTGAAGGTGGATATTTGGAGTGCTCTGAGGCCTATGGTGGAAAAGGAAATACCTACACATAAAAACTAGGCGGAAGCATTCTCAGAAATATCTTTGTGATGAGTGCATTCAACTCACAGAGTTGAACACTTATGTTGATAGAGGAGTTTTAAAACACTCTTTTTCAGGAATCTGAAAGTGGATATTTGGAGCGCTTTGAGGCCTGTGGTGGAAAAGGAAACACCTTCACAAAAAAAACTAGAGCAGAAGCATTCTCAGAAACTTCTTTGTGATGTGTGCATTCAACTCACAGAGTTGAACCTTTTTTTTTGATAGAGCAGTTTTGAAACACTATTTTTGTACAATCTGCGGTTGGATATTTGGAGCGCTTTGATGCCTATGGTGGAAAACGAAATATCCGCACATAAAATCTAGACGAGCAGCATTCTCAGAAACTTGTTTGTGTTGTGTGCATTCAACTCACAGAGTTGAACCTTTCCTTTGATTGAGCAGTTTTGAAAAAGTCTTTTTGTAGAATCCACAAGTGGATATTTGGAGCAGTTTGAGGCCTATGGTGTAAAAGGAAATATCTTCACATAAAAACTAGACAGAAGCATTCTCAGAAACTTCTTTGTGTTGTGTGCATTCAACTCACAGAGTTGAACTTTTCCTATGATTGAGCAGTTTTGAAACACTCTTTCTGAAGTATCTGCAAGTGGATATTTGGAGCGCTTTGAGGCCTATGGTGGAAAAGGAAACACCTTCACAAAAAAACTAGAGCAGAAGCATTCTCAGAAACGTCTTTGTGATGTGTGCATTCAACTCACAGGGTTGAACCTTTCTTTGATAGAGCAGTTTTGAAACCCTCTTTTTGTAGAATCTGCAGTTGGATATTTGGAGCGCTTTGATGCCTATGGTGGAAAAGGAAATATCCGCACATAAAAACTAGACAGCAGCATTCTCAGAAACTTGTTTGTGTTGTGTGCATTCAACTCACAGAGTTGAACCTTTCCTTTGATTGAGCAGTTTTGAAAAAGTCTTTTTGCAGAATCTGCAAGTGGATATTTGGAGCGGTTTGAGGCCTATGGTGTAAAAGGAAATATCTTCACATAAAATCTAGACGGAAGCATTCTCTGAAACTTCTTTGTGATGTGTGAATTCAACTCACAGAGTTGAACCTTTCTTTTGTAGAGCAGTTTTGAAACTCTTTATGTAGAATCTGTAAGTAGATATTTGGAGCGCTTTGAGGCTTATGGTGGAAAAGGAAATATCTTCACATAAAAACTAGACAGAAGCATTCTCAGAAAATTCTTTGTGATAAGTGCATTCAACTCACAGAGTCGATCCTTTCTGTTGATAGAGCAGTTTTAAATCACTCTTTTTCTAGAATCTGAAAGTGGATATTTGGAGTGCTTTGAGGCCTATGGTGGAAAAGGAAATACCTACACATAAAAACTAGGCGGAAGCATTCTCAGAAATATCTTTGTGATGAGTTCATTCAACTCACAGAGTTGAACACTTATGTTGATAGAGGAGTTCTAAAACACTCTTTTTCAGGAATCTGAAAGAGGATATTTGGAGCGCTTTGAGGCCTGTGGTGGAAAAGGAAACACCTTCACAAGAAAAACTAGAGCAGATGCATTCTCAGAAAGTTCTTTGTGATGTGTGCATTCAACTCACAGAGTTGAAACTTTTTTTTTGATAGAGCAGTTTTGAAACACTATTTTTGTACAATCTGCGGTTGGATATTTGGAGCGCTTTGATGCCTATGTTGGAAAACGAAATATCCGCACATAAAATCTAGACAGCAGCATTCTCAGAAACTTGTTTGTGTTGTGTGCATTCAGCTCACAGAGTTGAACCTTTCCTTTGATTGAGCAGTTTTGAAAAAGTCTTTTTGTAGAATCCACAAGTGGATATTTGGAGCAGTTTGAGGCCTATGGTGTAAAAGGAAATATCTTCACATAAAAACTAGACAGAAGCATTCTCAGAAACTTCTTTGTGTTGTGTGCATTCAACTCACAGAGTTGAACTTTTCCTATGATTGAGCAGTTTTGAAACACTCTTTCTGAAGAATCTGCAAGTGGATATTTGGAGCGCTTTGAGGCCTATGGTGGAAAAGGAAACACCTTCACAAAAAAACTAGAGCAGAAGCATTCTCAGAAACGTCTTTGTGATGTGTGCATTCAACCCACAGAGTTGAACCTTTCTTTGATAGAGCAGTTTTGAAACACTCTTTTTGTAGAATCTGCAGTTGGATATTTGGAGCGCTTTGATGCCTATGGTGGAAAAGGAAATATCCGCACATAAAAAGTAGACAGCAGCATTCTCAGAAACTTGTTTGTGTTGTGTGCATTCAACTCACAGAGTTGACCTTTCCTTTGATTGAGCAGTTTTGAAAAAGTCTTTTTGCAGAATCTGCAAGTGGATATTTGGAGCGGTTTGAGGCCTATGGTGTAAAAGGAAATATCTTCACATAAAAACTAGACAGAAGGATTCTCTGAAACTTCTTTGTGATGTGTGAATTGAACTCGCAGAGTTGAACCTTTCTTTTGTAGAGCAGTTTTGAAACTCTTTTTGTAGAATCTGTAACTAGATATTTGGAGCGCTTTGAGGCTTATGGTGGAAAAGGAAATATCTTCACATAATAACTAGACAGAAGCATTCTCAGAAACTTCTTCGTGATAAGTGCATTCAACTCAGAGAGTTGAACCTTTCTGTTGATAGAGCAGTTTTAAATCACTCTTTTTCTAGAATCTGAAAGTGGATATTTGGAGTGCTTTGAGGCCTATGGTGGAAAAGGAGATACCTACACATAAAAACTAGGCGGAAGCATTCTCAGAAATATCTTTGTGATGAGTGCATTCAACTCACAGAGTTGAACATTTATGTTGATAGAGGAGTTTTAAAACACTCTTTTTCAGGAATCTGAAAGTGGATATTTGGAGCGCTTTGAGGCCTATGGTGGAAAAGGAAACACCTTCACAAAAAAAACTAGAGCAGAAGCATTCTCAGAAACTTCTTTGTGATGTGTGCATTCAACTCACAGAGTTGAATCTTTTTTTTTGATAGAGCGGTTTTGAAACACTATTTTTGTACAATCTGCGGTAGGATATTTGGAGCGCTTTGATGCCTATGGTGGAAAATGAAATATCCACACATAAAATCTAGACAGCAACATTCTCAGAAACTTGTTTGTGTTGTGTGCATTCAACTCACAGAGTTGAACCTTTCCTTTGATTGAGCAGTTTTGAAAAAGTCTTTTTGTAGAATCCACAAGTGGATATTTGGAGCAGTTTGAGGCCTATGGTGTAAAAGGAAATATCTTCACATAAAAACTAGACAGAAGCATTCTCAGAAACTTCTTTGTGTTGTGTGCATTCAACTCACAGAGTTGAACCTTTCCTATGATTGAGCAGTTTTGAAACACTCTTTCTGAAGAATCTGCAAGTGGATATTTGGAGCGCTTTGAGGCCTATGGTGGAAAAGCAAACACCTTCACAAAAAAACTAGAGCAGAAGCATTCTCAGAAACGTCTTTGTGATGTGTGCATTCAACTCACAGAGTTGAACCTTTCTTTGATAGAGCAGTTTTGAAACACTCTTTTTGTAGAATCTGCAGTTGGATATTTGGAGCGCTTTGATGCCTATGGTGGAAAAGGAAATATCCGCACATAAAAACTAGACAGCAGCATTCTCAGAATCTTGTTTGTGTTGTGTGCATTCAACTCACAGAGTTGCCCTTTCCTTTGATTGAGCAGTTTTGAAAAAGTCTTTTTGCAGAATCTGCAAGTGGATATTTGGAGCGGTTTGAGGCCTATGGTGTAAAAGGAAATATCTTCACATAAAAACTAGACAGAAGCATTCTCTGAAACTTCTTTGTGATGTGTGAATTCAACTCGCAGAGTTGAACCTTTCTTTTGTAGAGCAGTTTTGAAACTCTTTTTGTAGAATCTGTAAGTAGATATTTGGAGCGCTTTGAGGCTTATGGTGGAAAAGGAAATATCTTCACATAAAAACTAGACAGAAGCATTCTCAGAAACTTCTTTGTGATAAGTGCATTCTACTCACAGAGTCGAACCTTTCTGTTGATAGAGCAGTTTTAAATCACTCTTTTTCTAGAATCTGAAAGTGGATATTTGGAGTGCTTTGAGGCCTATGGTGGAAAAGGAAATACCTACACATAAAAACTAGGCGGAAGCATTCTCAGAAATATCTTTGTGATGAGTGCATTCAACTCACAGAGTTGAACATTTATGTTGATAGAGGAGTTTTAAAACACTCTTTTTCAGGAATCTGAAAGTGGATATTTGGAGCGCTTTGAGGCCTATGGTGGAAAAGGAAACACCTTCACAAAAAAAAACTAGAGCAGAAGCATTCTCAGAAACTTCTTTGTGATGTGTGCATTCAACTCACAGAGTTGAACCTTTTTTTTTGATAGAGCAGTTTTGAAACACTATTTTTGTACAATCTGCGGTTGGATATTTGGAGCGCTTTGATGCCTATGGTGGAAAAGGAAATATCCGCACATAAAATCTAGACAGCAGCATTCTCAGAAACATGTTTGTGTTGTGTGCATTCAGCTCACAGGGTTGAACCTTTCCTTTGATTGAGCAGTTTTGAAAAAGTCTTTTTGTAGAATCTGCAAGTGGATATTTGGAGCAGTTTGAGGCCTATGGTGTAAAAAGAAATATCTTCACATAAAAACTAGACAGAAGCATTTTCAGAAACTTCTTTGTGTTGTGTGCATTCAACTCACAGAGTTGAACTTTTCCTATGATTGAGCAGTTTTGAAACACTCTTTCTGAAGAATCTGCAAGTGGATATTTGTAGCGCTTTGAGGCCTGTGGTGGAAAAAGAAACACCTTCACAAAAAAACTAGAGCAGAAGCATTCTCAGAAACGTATTTGTGATGTGTGCATTCAACTCACAGAGTTGAACCTTTCTTTGATAGAGCAGTTTTGAAACACTCTTTTTGTAGAATCTGCAGTTGGATATTTGGAGCGCTTTGATGCCTATGGTGGAAAAGGAAATATCCGCCCATAAAAACTAGACAGCAGCATTCTCAGAAACTTGTTTGTGTTGTGTGCATTCAACTCACAGAGTTGACCTTTCCTTTGATTGAGCAGTTTTGAAAAAGTCTTTTTGCAGAATCTGCAAGTGGATATTTGGAGCGGTTTGAGGCCTATGGTGTAAAAGGAAATATCTTCACATAAAAACTAGACAGAAGCATTCTCTGAAACTTCTTTGTGATGTGTGAATTCAACTCACAGAGTTGAACCTTTCTTTTGTAGAGCAGTTTTGAAACTCTTTTTGTAGAATCTGTAAGTAGATATTTGGAGCGCTTTGAGGCTTATGGTGGAAAAGGAAATATCTTCACATAAAAACTAGACAGAAGCATTCTCAGAAACTTCTTTGTGATAAGTGCATTCAACTCACAGAGTCGAACCTTTCTGTTGATAGGGCAGTTTTAAATCACTCTTTTTCTAGAATCTGAAAGTGGATATTTGGAGTGCTCTGTGGCCTATGGTGGAAAAGGAAATACCTACACATAAAAACTAGGCGGAAGCATTCTCAGAAATATTTTGTGATGAGTGCATTCAACTCACAGAGTTGAACACTTATGTTGATAGAGGAGTTTTAAAACACTCTTTTTCAGAAATCTGAAAGTGGATATTTGGAGCGCTTTGAGGCCTATGGTGGAAAAGGAAACACCTTCACAAAAAAAACTAGAGCAGAAGCATTCTCAGAAACTTCGTTGTGATGTGTGCATTCAACTCACAGAGTTGAACCTTTTTATTTGATAGAGCAGTTTTGAAACACTATTTTTGTACAATCTGCGGTTGGATATTTGGAGCGCTTTGATGCCTATGGTGGAAAACGAAATATCCGCACATAAAATCTAGACAGCAGCATTCTCAGAAACTTGTTTGTGTTGTGTGCATTCAGCTCACAGAGTTGAACCTTTCCTTTGATTGAGCAGTTTTGAAATAGTCTTTTTGTAGAATCCACAAGTGGATATTTGGAGCAGTTTGAGGCCTATGGTGTAAAAGGAAATATCTTCACATAAAAACTAGACAGAAGCATTCTCAGAAACTTCTTTTTGTTGTGTGCATTCAACTCACAGAGTTGAACTTTTCCTATGATTGAGCAGTTTTGAAACACTCTTTCTGAAGAATCTGCAAGTGGATATTTGGAGCGCTTTGAGGCCTGTGGTGGAAAAAGAAACACCTTCACAAAAAAACTAGAGCAGAAGCAATCTCAGAAACGTCTTTGTGATGTGTGCATTCAACTCACAGAGTTGAACCTTTCTTTGATAGAGCAGTTTTGAAACACTCTTTTTGTAGAATCTGCAGTTGGATATTTGGAGCGCTTTGATGCCTATGGTGGAAAAGGAAATATCCGCACATAAAAACTAGACAGCAGCATTCTCAGGAACTTGTTTGTGTTGTGTGCATTCAACTCACAGAGTTGACCTTTCCTTTGATTGAGCAGTTTTGAAAAAGTCTTTTTGCAGAATCTGCAAGTGGATATTTGGAGCGGTTTGAGGCCTATGGTGTAAAAGGAAATATCTTCACATAAAAACTAGACAGACAAGCATTCTCTGAAACTTCTTTGTGATGTGTGAATTCAACTCACAGAGTTGAACCTTTCTTTTGTAGAGCAGTTTTGAAACTCTTTTTGTAGAATGTGTAAGTAGATATTTGGAGCGCTTTGAGGCTTATGGTGGAAAAGGAAATATCTTCACATAAAAACTAGACAGAAGCATTCTCAGAAACTTCTTTGTGATAAGTGCATTCAACTCACAGAGTCGAACCTTTCTGTTGATAGAGCAGTTTTAAATCACTCTTTTTCTAGAATCTGAAAGTGGATATTTGGAGTGCTCTGAGGCCTATGGTGGAAAAGGAAATACCTACACATAAAAACTAGGCGGAAGCATTCTCAGAAATATCTTTGTGATGAGTGCATTCACCTCACAGAGTTGAACATTTATGTTGATAGAGGAGTTTTAAAACACACTTTTTCGGGAATATGAAAGTGGATATTTGGAGCACTTTGAGGCCTATGGTGGAAAAGGAAACACCTTCACAAAAAAAACTAGAGCAGAAGCATTCTCAGGAACTTCTTTGTGATGTGTGCATTCAACTCACAGAGTTGAACCTTTTTTTCTGATAGAGCAGTTTTGAAACACTATTTTTGTACAATCTGCGGTTGGATATTTGGAGCGCTTTGATGCCTATGGTGGAAAACGAAATATCCGCACATAAAATCTAGACAGCAGCATTCTCAGAAACATGTTTGTGTTGTGTGCATTCAACTCACAGAGTTGAACCTTTCCTTTGATTGAGCAGTTTTGAAAAAGTCTTTTTGTAGAATCCACAAGTGGATATTTGGAGCAGTTTGAGGCCTGTGGTATAAAAGGAAATATCTTCACATGAAAACTAGACAGAAGCATTCTCAGAAACTTCTTTGTGTTGTGTGCATTCAACTCACAGAGTTGAACTTTTCCTATGATTGAGCAGTTTTGAAACACTCTTTCTGAAGAATCTGCAAGTGGATATTTGGAGCACTTTGAGGCCTATGGTGGAAAAGGAAACACCTTCACAAAAAAACTAGAGCAGAAGCATTCTCAGAAACGTCTTTGTGATGTGTGCATTCAACTCACAGAGTTGAACCTTTGTTTGATAGAGCAGTTTTGAAACACTCTTTTTGTAGAATCTGCAGTTGGATATTTGGAGCGCTTTGATGCCTATGGTGGAAAAGGAAATATCCGCACATAAAAACTAGACAGCAGCATTCTCAGAAACTTGTTTGTGTTGTGTGCATTCAACTCACAGAGTTGGCCTTTCCTTTGATTGAGCAGTTTTGAAAATGTCTTTTTGCAGAATCTGCAAGTGGATATTTGGAGCGGTTTGAGGCCTATGGTGTAAAAGGAAATATCTTCACATAAAAACTAGACAGAAGCATTCTCTGAAACTTCTTTGTGATGTGTGAATTCAACTCACAGAGTTGAACCTTTCTTTTGTAGAGCAGTTTTGAAACTCTTTTTGTAGAATCTGTAAGTAGATATTTGGAGCGCTTTGAGGCTTATGTTGGAAAAGGAAATATCTTCACATAAAAACTAGACAGAAGCATTCTCAGAAACTTCTTTGTGATAAGTGCATTCAACTCACAGAGTCGAACCTTTCTGTTGATAGAGCAGTTTTAAATCACTCTTTTTCTAGAATCTGAAAGTGGATATTTGGAGTGCTCTGAGGCCTATGGTGGAAAAGGAAATACCTACACATAAAAACTAGGCGGAAGCATTCTCAGAAATATCTTTGTGATGAGTGCATTCAACTCACAGAGTTGAACACTTATGTTGATAGAGGAGTTTTAAAACACTCTTTTTCAGGAATCTGAAAGTGGATATTTGGAGCGCTTTGAGGCCTATGGTGGAAAAGGAAACACCTCACAAAAAAAACTAGAGCAGAAGCATTCTCAGAAACTTCTTTGTGATGTGTGCATTCAACTCACAGAGTTGAATCTTTTTCTTTGATAGAGGAGTTTTGAAACACTATTTTTGTACAATCTGCGGTTGGATATTTGGAGCGCTTTGATGCCTACGGTGGAAAACGAAATATCCGCACATAAAATCTAGACAGCCAGCATTCTCAGAAACTTGTTTGTGTTGTGTGCATTCAACTCACAGAGTTGAACCTTTCCTTTGATTGAGCAGTTTTGAAAAAGTCTTTTTGTAGAATCTACAAGTGGATATTTGAAGCACATTGAAGCCTATGATGGAAAAGGAAATATCTTCACATACAAACTAGACAGAGCATTCTCAGAAACTTCTTTGTGTTGTGTGCATTCAACTCACAGAGTTGAACTTTTCCTATGATTGAGCAGTTTTGAAACACTCTTTCTGAAGAATCTGCAAGTGGATATTTGGAGCGCTTTGAGGCCTATGGTGCAAAAGGAAACACCTTCACAAAAAAACTAGAGCAGAAGCATTCTCAGAAACGTCTTTGTGATGTGTGCATTCAACTCACAGAGTTGAACCTTTCTTTGATAGAGCAGTTTTGAAACACTCTTTTTGTAGAATCTGCAGTTGGATATTTGGAGCGCTTTGATGCCTATGGTGGAAAAGGAAATATCCGCACATAAAAACTAGACAGCAGCATTCTCAGAAACTTGTTTGTGTTCTGTGCATTCAACTCACAGAGTTGAGCTTTCCTTTGATTGAGCAGTTTTGAAAAAGTCTTTTTGCAGAATCTGCAAGTGGATATTTGGAGCGGTTTGAGGCCTGTGGTGTAAAAGGAAATATCTTCACATAAAAACTAGACAGAAGCATTCTCTGAAACTTCTTTGTGATGTGTGAATTCAACTCACAGAGTTGAACCTTTCTTTTGTAGAGCAGTTTTGAAACTCTTTTTGTAGAATCTGTAAGTAGATATTTGGAGCGCTTTGAGGCTTATGGTGGAAAAGGAAATATCTTCACTTAAAAACTAGACAGAAGCATTCTCAGAATCTTCTTTGTGATAAGTGCATTCAACTCACAGAGTCGAACCTTTCTGTTGATAGAGCAGTTTTAAATCACTCATTTTCTAGAATCTGAAAGTGGATATTTGGAGTGCTCTGAGGCCTATGGTGGAAAAGGAAATACCTACACATAAAAACTAGGCGGAAGCATTCTCAGAAATATCTTTGTGATGAGTGCATTCAACTCACAGAGTTGAACATTTATGTTGATAGAGGACTTTTAAAAGACTCTTTTTCAGGAATCTGAAAGTGGATATTTGGAGCGCTTTGAGGCCTATGGTGGAAAAGGAAACACCTTCACAAAAAAAACTAGAGCAGAAGCATTCTCAGAAACTTCTTTGTGATGTGTGCATTCAACTCACAGAGTTGAACCTTTTTTTTTGATAGAGCAGTTTTGAAACACTATTTTTGTACAATGTGCGGTTGGATGTTTGGAGCGCTTTGATGCCTATGGTGGAAAACGAAATATCCGCACATAAAATCTAGACAGCAGCATTCTCAGAAACTTGTTTGTGTTGTGTGCATTCAACTCACAGAGTTGAACCTTTCCTTTGATTGAGCAGTTTTGAAAAAGTCTTTTTGTAGAATCCACAAGTGGATATTTGGAGCAGTTTGAGGCCTATGGTGTAAAAGGAAATATCTTCACATAAAAACTAGACAGAAGCATTCTCAGAAACTTCTTTGTGTTGTGTGTATTCAACTCACAGAGTTGAAATTTTCCTTTGATTGAGCAGTTTTGAAACACTCTTTTTGTAGAATCTGCAAGTGGATATTTGGAGTGCTTTGAGGCCTATGGTGGAAAAGGAAACACCTTCACATAAAAAGTAGAGCAGAAGCATTCTCAGAAACGTCTTTGTGATGTGTGCATTCAACTCACAGAGTTGAACCTTTCTTTGATAGAGCAGTTTTGAAACACTCTTTTTGTAGAATCTGCAGTTGGATATTTGGAGCGCTTTGATGCCTATGGTGGAAAAGGAAATATCCGCACATAAAAACTAGACAGCAGCATTCTCAGAAACTTGTTTGTGTTGTGTGCATTCAACTCACAGAGTTGAGCTTTCCTTTGATTGAGCAGTTTTGAAAATGTCTTTCTGCAGAATCTGCAAGTGGATATTTGGAGCGGTTTGAGGCCTATGGTGTAAAAGGAAATATCTTCACATAAAAACTAGACAGAAGCATTCTCTGAAACTTCTTTGTGATGTGTGAATTCAACTCACAGAGTTGAACCTTTCTTTTGTAGAGCAGTTTTGAAACTCTTTTTGTAGAATCTGTATGTAGATATTTGGAGCGCTTTGAGGCTTATGGTGGAAAAGGAAATATCTTCACATAAAAACTAGACAGAAGCATTCTCAGAAACTTCTTTGTGATAAGTGCATTCAACTCACAGAGTCGAACCTTTCTGTTGATAGAGCAGTTTTAAATCACTCTTTTTCTAGAATCTGAAAGTGGATATTTGGAGTGCTCTGAGGCCTATGGTTGAAAAGGAAATACCTACACATAAAAACTAGGCGGAAGCATTCTCAGAAACTTCTTTGTGATGTGTGCATTCAACTCACAGATTTGAACCTTTCTGTTGATAGAGCAGTTTTAAAACACTCTTTTTCTGGAATCTGAAAGTGGATATTTGGAGCGCTTTGAGGCCTATAGTGGAAAAGGAAACACCTTTACAAAAAAACTATAGCAGAAGCATTCTCAGAAAGTTCTTTGTGTTGTGTGCATTCAACTCACAGAGTTGAACCTTTTTTTTTGATAGAGCAGTTTTGAAACACTATTTTTGTACAATCTGCGGTTGGATATTTGGAGCGCTTTGATGCCTATGGTGGAAAACGAAATATCCGCACATAAAGTCTAGACAGC
>NC_000020.11:30017594-30030736 GCF_000001405.40 Homo sapiens
TAGCAAAGACTTGGAACTAAACCAAATGTCTAACAATGATAGACTGGATTAAGAAAATGTGGCACATATGAACTTTCTTTTTCATAGAGCAGTTTTGAAACACTCTTTTTGTAGAATCTGCAAGTGGACATTTGGAGCACTTTGAGGTATATGGTAGAAAAGGAAATATCTTCATATAAAAACTAGACAGAAGAGCATTCTCAGAAACTTCTTTGTGTTGTGTGCATTCAACTCACAGAGTTGAACTTTTCCTATGATTGAGCAGTTTTGAAACACTCTTTCTGAAGAATCTGCAAGTGGATATTTGGAGCGCTTTGAGGCCTATGGTGGAAAAGGAAACACCTTCACAAAAAAACTAGAGCAGAAGCATTCTCAGAAACGTCTTTGTGATGTGTGCATTCAACTCACAGAGTTGAACCTTTCTTTGATAGAGCAGTTTTGAAACACTCTTGTTGTAGAATCTGCAGTTGGATATTTGGAGCACTTTGATGCCTATGGTGGAAAAGGAAATATCCGCCCATAAAAACTAGACAGCAGCATTCTCAGAAACTTGTTTGTGTTGTGTGCATTCAACTCACAGAGTTGACCTTTCCTTTGATTGAGCAGTTTTGAAAAAGTCTTTTTGCAGAATCTGCAAGTGAATATTTGGAGCGTTTTGAGGCCTATGGTGTAAAAGGAAATATCTTCACATAAAAACTAGACAGAAGTATTCTCAGAAAGTTCTTTGCGATGTGTGAATTCAACTCACAGAGTTGAACCTTTCTTTCATAGAGCAGTTTTGAAACACTCTTTTTATAGAATCTGCAAGTAGATATTTGGAGCGCTTTGAGGCTTATAGTAGAAAAGGAAATATCTTCACATAAAAACTAGACAGAAGCATGCTCAGAAACTTCTTTGTGATAAGTGCATTCAACTCACAGAGTCGAACCTTTCTGTTGATAGAGCAGTTTTAAATCACTCTTTTTCTAGAATCTGAAAGTGGATATTTGGAGTGCTTTGTGGCCTATGGTGGAAAAGGAAATACCTACCCATAAAAACTAGGCGGAAGCATACTCAGAAGTATCTTTGTGATGAGTGCATTCAACTCACAGAGTTGAACACTTATGTTGATAGAGGAGTTTTAAAACACTCTTTTTCAGGAATCTGAAAGTGGATATTTGGAGCGCTTTGAGGCCTATGGTGGAAAAGGAAACACCTTCACAAAAAAAACTAGAGCAGAAGCATTCTCAGAAACTTCGTTGTGATGTGTGCATTCAACTCACAGAGTTGAACCTTTTTATTTGATAGAGCAGTTTTGAAACACTTTTTTTGTACAATCTGCGGTTGGATATTTGGAGCGCTTTGATGCCTATGGTGGAAAACGAAATATCCGCACATAAAATCTAGACAGCAGCATTCTCAGAAACTTGTTCGTGTTGTGTGCATTCAACTCACAGAGTTGAACCTTTCCTTTGATTGAGCAGTTTTGAAAAAGTCTTTTTGTAGAATCCACAAGTGGATATTTGGAGCAGTTTGAGGCCTATGGTGTAAAAGGAAATATCTTCACATAAAAACTAGACAGAAGCATTCTCAGAAACTTCTTTGTGTTGTGTGCATTCAACTCACAAAGTTGAACTTTTCCTATGATTGAGCAGTTTTGAAACACTCTTTCTGAAGAATCTGCAAGTGGATATTTGGAGTGC
Organism: Homo sapiens; assembly: GCF_000001405.40. NCBI lineage: Eukaryota > Metazoa > Chordata > Mammalia > Primates > Hominidae > Homo > Homo sapiens. Next base: position 30,019,277 of record NC_000020.11, read on the forward strand.
TTTGAGGTCTATGGTGGAAAAGCAAACACCTTCACAAAAAAAACTAGAGCAGAAGCATTCTCAGAAACGTCTTTGTGATGTGTGCATTCAACTCACAGAGTTGAACCTTTGTTTGATAGAGTAGTTTTGAAACACTCTTTTTGTAGAATCTGCAGTTGGATATTTGGAGCGCTTTGATGCCTATGGTGGAAAAGGAAATATCCGCACATAAAAACTAGACAGCAGCATTCTCAGAAACTTGTTTGTGTTGTATGCATTCAACTCACAGAGTTGACCTTTCCTTTGATTGAGCAGTTTTGAATAAGTCTTTTTGCAGAATCTGCAAGTGGATATTTGGAGCGGTTTGAGGCCTATGGTGTAAAAGGAAATATCTTCACATAAAAACTAGACAGAAGCATTCTCTGAAACTTCTTTGTGATGTGTGAATTCAACTCACAGAGTTGAACCTTTCTTTTGTAGAGCAGTTTTGAAACTCTTTTTGTAGAATCTGTAAGTAGATATTTGGAGCGCTTTGAGGCTTATGGTGGAAAAGGAAATATCTTCACTTAAAAACTAGACAGAAGCATTCTCAGAAACTTCTTTGTGATAAGTGCATTCAACTCACAGAGTCGAACCTTTCTGTTGATAGAGCAGTTTTAAATCACTCTTTTTCTAGAATCTGAAAGTGGATATTTGGAGTGCTCTGAGGCCTATGGTGGAAAAGGAAATACCTACACATAAAAACTAGGCGGAAGCATTCTCAGAACTATCTTTGTGATGAGTGCATTCAACTCACAGAGTTGAACATTTATGTTCATAGAGGAGTTTTAAAACACTCTTTTTCAGGAATCTGAAAGTGGATATTTGGAGCGCTTTGAGGCCTATGGTGGAAAAGGAAACACCTTCACAAAAAAACTAGAGCGGAAGCATTCTCAGAAACTTCTTTGTGATGTGTGCATTCAACTCACAGAGTTGAACCTTTTTTTTTGATAGAGCAGTTTTGAAACACTATTTTTGTACAATCTGCGGTTGGATATTTGGAGCGCTTTGATGCCTGTGGTGGAAAACGAAATATCCGCACATAAAATCTAGACAGCAGCATTCTCAGAAACTTGTTTGTGTTGTGTGCATTCAGCTCACAGAGTTGAACCTTTCCTTTGACTGAGCAGTTTTGAAATAGTCGTTTTGTAGAATCCACAAGTGGATATTTGGAGCAGTTTGAGGCCTATGGTGTAAAAGGAAATATCTTCACATAAAAACTAGACAGAAGCATTCTCAGAAACTTGTTTGTGTTGTGTGCATTCAACTCACAGAGTTGAAACTTTCCTTTGATTGAGCAGTTTTGAAAAAGTCCTTTTGCAGAATCTGCAAGTGGATATTTGGAGCGTTTGAGGCCTATGGTGTAAAAGGAAATATCTTCACATAGAAACTAGACAGAAGCATTCTCTGAAACTTCTTTGTGATGTGTGCATTCAACTCACAGAGTTGAACCTTTCTTTTGTAGAGCAGTTTTGAAACACTCTTTTTGTAGAATCTGCAATTGGATATTTGGAGCTCTTTGATGCCTATGGTGGGAAAGGAAATATCCGCACATAAAAAGTAGATAGCAGCATTCTCAGAAACTTGTTTGTGTTGTGTGCATTCAACTCACAGAGTTGAACCTTTCCTTTGATTGAGCAGTTTTGAAAAAGTCTTTTTGTAGAATCTACAAGTGGATATTTGAAGCACATTGAAGCCTATGATGGAAAAGGAAATATCTTCACATACAAACTAGACAGAAGCATTCTCAGAAACTTCTTTGTGTTGTGTGCATTCAACTCACAAAGTTGAACTTTTCCTATGATTGAGCAGTTTTGAAACACTCTTTCTGAAGAATCTGCAAGTGGATATTTGGAGTGCTTTGATGTCTATGGTGGAAAAGCAAACACCTTCACAAAAAAAACTAGAGCAGAAGCATTCTCAGAAACGTCTTTGTGATGTGTGCATTCAACTCACAGAGTTGAACCTTTCTTTGATAGAGCAGTTTTGAAACACTCTTTTTGTAGAATCTGCAGTTGGATATTTGGAGCGCTTTGATGCCTATGGTGGTAAAGGAAATGTCCGCCCATAAAAACTAGACAGCAGCATTCTCAGAAACGTGTTTGTGTTGTGTGCATTCAACTCACAGAGTTGGACTTTCCTTTGATTGAGCAGTTTTGAAAATGTCTTTTTGCAGAATCTGCAAGTGGATATTTGGAGCGGTTTGAGGCCTATGGTGTAAAAGGAAATATCTTCACATAAAACGTAGACAGAAGCATTCTCTGAAACTTCTTTGTGATGTGTGAATTCAACTCACAGAGTTGAACCTTTCTTTTGTAGAGCAGTTTTGAAACTCTTTTTGTAGAATCTGTAAGTAGATATTTGGAGCGCTTTGAGGCTTATGGTGGAAAAGGAAATATCTTCACATAAAAACTAGACAGAAGCATTCTCAGAAACTCCTTTGTGATAAGTGCATTCAACTCACAGAGTCGAACCTTTCTGTTGATAGAGCAGTTTTAAATCACTCTTTTTCTAGAATCTGAAAGTGGATATTTGGAGTGCTCTGAGGCCTATGGTGGAAAAGGAAATACCTACACATAAAAACTAGGCGGAAGCATTCTCAGAAATATCTTTGTGATGAGTGCATTCAACTCACAGAGTTGAACATTTATGTTGATAGAGGAGTTTTAAAACACTCTTTTTCAGGAATCTGAAAGTGGATATTTGGAGCGCTTTGAGGCCTATGGTGGAAAAGGAAACACCTTCAGAAAAAAAAACTAGAGCAGAAGCATTCTCAGGAACTTCTTTGTGATGTGTGCATTCAACTCACAGAGTTGAACCTTTTTTTTTGATAGAGCAGTTTTGAAACACTATTTTTGTACAATCTGCGGTTGGATATTTGGAGCGCTTTGATGCCTATGGTGGAAAACGAAATATCCGCACATAAAATCTAGACAGCAGCATTCTCAGAAACTTGATTGTGTTGTGTGCATTCAACTCACAGAGTTGAACCTTTCCTTTGATTGAGCAGTTTTGAAAAAGTCTTTTTGTAGAATCCACAAGTGGATATATGGAGCAGTTTGAGGCCTATGGTGTAAAAGGAAATATCTTCACATAAAAACTAGACAGAAGCATTCTCAGAAACTTCTTTGTGTTGTGTGCATTCAACTCACAGAGTTGAACTTTTCCTATGATTGAGCAGTTTTGAAACACTCTTTCTGAAGAATCTGCAAGTGGATATTTGGAGCGCTTTGAGGCCTATGGTGGAAAAGGAAACACCTTCACAAAAAAACTAGAGCAGAAGCATTCTCAGAAACGTCTTTGTGATGTGTGCATTCAACTCACAGATTTCAACCTTTCTTTGATAGAGCAGTTTTGAAACACTCTTTTTGTAGAATCTGCAGTTGGATATTTGGAGCGCTTTGATGCCTATGGTGGAAAAGGAAATATCCGCACATAAAAACTAGACAGCAGCATTCTCAGAAACTTGTTTGTGTTGTGTGCATTCAACTCACAGAGTTGAGCTTTCCTTTGATTGAGCAGTTTTGAAAAAGTCTTTTTGCAGAATCTGCAAGTGGATATTTGGAGCGGTTTGAGGCCTATGGTGTAAAAGGAAATATCTTCACATAAAAACTAGACAGAAGGATTCTCTGAAACTTGTTTGTGATGTGTGAATTCAACTCGCAGAGTTGAACCTTTCTTTTGTAGAGCAGTTTTGAAACTCTTTTTGTAGAATCTGTACGTAGATATTTGGAGCGCTTTGAGGCTTATGGTGGAAAAGGAAATATCTTCACATAAAAACTAGACAGAAGCATTCTCAGAAACTTCTTTGTGATAAGTGCATTCAACTCACAGAGTCGAACCTTTCTGTTGATAGAGCAGTTTAAAAGCACTCTTTTTCTAATATCTGAAAGTGGATATTTGGAGTGCTTTGTGGCCTATGGTGGAAAAGGAAATACCTACACATAAAAACTAGGCCGAAGCATTCTCAGAAATATCTTTGTGATGAGTGCATTCAACTCACAGAGTTGAACACTTATGTTGATAGAGGAGTTTTAAAACACTCTTTTTCAGGAATCTGAAAGTGGATATTTGGAGCGCTTTGAGGCCTGTGGTGGAAAAGGAAACACATTCACAAAAAAAACTACAGCAGAAGCATTCTCAGAAACTTCGTTGTGATGTGTGCATTCAACTCACAGAGTTGAACCTTTTTATTTGATAGAGCAGTTTTGAAACACTATTTTTGTACAATCTGCGGTTGGATATTTGGAGCGCTTTGATGCCTATGGTGGAAAACGAAATATCCGCACATAAAATCTAGACAGCAACATTCTCAGAAACTTGTTTGTGTTGTGTGCATTCAACTCACAGAGTTGAACCTTTCCTTTGATTGAGCAGTTTTGAAAAAGTCTTTTTGTAGAATCCACAAGTGGATATTTGGAGCAGTTTGTGGCCTATGGTGTAAAAGGAAATATCTTCACATAAAAACTAGACAGAAGCATTCTCAGAAACTTCTTTGTGATGTGTGCATTCAACTCACAGAGTTGAACTTTTCCTATGATTGAGCAGTTTTGAAACACTCTTTCTGAAGAATCTGCAAGTGGATATTTGGAGCGCTTTGAGGCCTACGGTGGAAAAGGAAACACCTTCACAAAAAAACTAGAGCAGAAGCATTCTCAGAAACGTCTTTGTGATGTGTGCATTCAACTCACAGAGTTGAACCTTTCTTTGATAGAGCAGTTTTGAAACACTCTTTTTGTAGAATCTGCAGTTGGATATTTGGAGCGCTTTGATGCCTATGGTGGAAAAGGAAATATCTGCACATAAAAACTAGACAGCAGCATTCTCAGAAACTTGTTTGTGTTGTGTGCATTCAACTCACAGAGTTGACCTTTCCTTTGATTGAGCAGTTTTGAAAAAGTCTTTTTGCAGAATCTGCAAGTGGATATTTGCAGCGGTTTGAGGCCTATGGTGTAAAAGGAAATATATTCACATAAAAACTAGACAGAAGCATTCTCTGAAACTTCTTTGTGATGTGTGCATTCAAGTCACAGAGTTGAACCTTTCTTTTGTAGAGCAGTTTTGAAACACTCTTTTTGTAGAATCTGCAAGTAGATATATGGAGCGCTTTGAGGCTTACGATGGAAAAGGAAATATCCGCACATAAAAAGTAGACAGCAACATTCTCAGAAACTTCTTTGTGATAAGTGCATTCAACTCACAGAGTCGAACCTTTCTGTTGATAGAACAGTTTTAAATCACTCTTTTTCTAGAATCTGAAAGTGGATATTTGGAGTGCTTTGAGGCCTATGGTGGAAAAGGAAATACCTACACATAAAAACTAGGCGGAATCATTCTCAGAACTATCTTTGTAATGAGTGCATTCAACTCACAGAGTTGAACATTTATGTTCATAGAGGAGTTTTAAAACACTCTTTTTCAGGAATCTGAAAGTGGATATTTGTAGCGCTTTGAGGCCTATGGTGGAAAAGGAAACACCTTCACAAAAAAAACCAGAGCAGAAGCATTCTCAGAAACTTCGTTGTGATGTGTGCATTCAACTCACAGAGTTGAACCTTTTTATTTGATAGAGCAGTTTTGAAACACTATTTTTGTACAATCTGCGGTTGGATATTTGGAGCGCTTTGATGCCTATGGTGGAAAACGAAATATCCGCACATAAAATCTAGACAGCAGCATTCTCAGAAACTTGTTTGTGTTGTGTGCATTCAGCTCACAGAGTTGAACCTTTCCTTTGATTGAGCAGTTTTGAAATAGTCTTTTTGTAGAATCCACAAGTGGATATTTGGAGCAGTTTGAGGCCTATGGTGTAAAAGGAAATATCTTCACATAAAAACTAGACAGAAGCATTCTCAGAAACTTCTTTGTGTTGTGTGCATTCAACTCACAGAGTTGAACTTTTCCTATGATTGAGCAGTTTTGAAACACTCTTTCTGAAGAATCTGCAAGTGGATATTTGGAGCGCTTTGAGGCCTATGGTGGAAAAGGAAACACCTTCACAAAAAAACTAGAGCAGAAGCATTCTCAGAAACGTCTTTGTGATGTGTGCATTCAACTCACAGAGTTAAACCTTTCTTTGATAGAGCAGTTTTGAAACACTCTTTTTGTAGAATCTGCAGTTGGATATTTGGAGCGCTTTGATGCCTATGGTGGAAAAGGAAATATCCGCACATAAAAACTAGACAGCAGCATTCTCAGAAAATTGTTTGTGTTGTGTGCATTCAACTCACAGAGTTGAGCTTTCCTTTGATTGAGCAGTTTTGAAAAAGTCTTTTTGCAGAATCTGCAAGTGGATATTTGGAGCGGTTTGAGGCCTATGGTGTAAAAGGAAATATCTTCACATAAAAACTACACAGAAGCATTCTCTGAAACTTCTTTGTGATGTGTGAATTCAACTCACAGAGTTGAACCTTTCTTCTGTAGAGCAGTTTTGAAACTCTTTTTGTAGAATCTGTAAGTAGATATTTGGAGCGCTTTGAGGCTTATGGTGGAAAAGGAAATATCTTCACATAAAAACTAGACAGAAGCATTCTCAGAAACTTCTTTGTGATAAGTGCATTCAACTCACAGAGTCGAACCTTTCTGTTGATAGAGGAGTTTTAAATCACTCTTTTTCTAGAATCTGAAAGTGGATATTTGGAGTGCTCTGAGGCCTATGATGGAAAAGGAAATACCTACACATAAAAACTAGGCGGAAGCATTCTCAGAAATATCTTTGTGATGAGTGCATTCAACTCACAGAGTTGAACATTTATGTTGATAGAGGAGTTTTAAAACACTCTTTTTCAGGAATCTGAAAGTGGATATTTGGAGCGCTTTGAGGCCTATGGTGGAAAAGGAAACACCTTCACAAAAAAAACTAGAGCAGAAGCATTCTCAGGAACTTCTTTGTGATGTGTGCATTCAACTCACAGAGTTGAACCTTTTTTTTTTGATAGAGCAGTTTTGAAACACTATCTTTGTACAATCTGCGGTTGGATATTTGGAGCGCTTTGATGCCTATGGTGGAAAACGAAATATCCGCACATAAAATCTAGACAGCAGCATTCTCAGAAACTTGTTTGTGTTGTGTGCATTCAACTCACAGAGTTGAACCTTTCCTTTGATTGAGCAGTTTTGAAGAAGTCTTTTTGTAGAATCCAAAAGTGGATATATGGAGCAGTTTGAGGCCTATGGTGTAAAAGGAAATATCTTCACATAAAAACTAGACAGAAGCATTCTCAGAAACTTCTTTGTGTTGTGTGAATTCAACTCACAGAGTTGAACTTTTCCTATGATTGAGCAGTTTTGAAACACTCTTTCTGAAGAATCTGCAAGTGGATATTTGGAGCGCTTTGAGGCCTACGGTGGAAAAGGAAACACCTTCACAAAAAAACTAGAGCAGAAGCATTCTCAGAAACGTCTTTGTGATGTGTGCATTCAACTCACAGAGTTGAACCTTTCTTTGATAGAGCAGTTTTGAAACACTCTTTTTGTAGAATCTGCAGTTGGATATTTGGAGCGCTTTGATGCCTACGGTGGAAAAGGAAATATCCGCACATAAAAACAAGACAGCAGCATTCTCAGAAACTTGTTTGTGTTGTGTGCATTCAACTCACAGAGTTGACCTTTCCTTTGATTGAGCAGTTTTGAAAAAGTCTTTTTGCAGAATCTGCAAGTGGATATTTGGAGCGGTTTGAGGCCTATGGTGTAAAAGGAAATATCTTCACATAAAAACTAGACAGAAGCATTCTCTGAAACTTCTTTGTGATGTGTGAATTCAACTCGCAGAGTTGAACCTTTCTTTTGTAGAGCAGTTTTGAAACTCTTTTTGTAGAATCTGTAAGTAGATATTTGGAGCGCTTTGAGTCTTATGGTGGAAAAGGAAATATCTTCACATAAAATCTAGACAGAAGCATTCTCAGAAACTTCTTTGTGATAAGTGCATTCAACTCACAGAGTCGAACCTTTCTGTTGATAGAGCAGTTTTAAATCACTCTTTTTCTAGAATCTGAAACTGGATATTTGGAGTGCTTTGAGGCCTATTGTGGAAAAGGAAATACCTACACATAAAAAAGAGGCGGAAGCATTCTCAGAAATATCTTTGTGATGAGTGCATTCAACTCACAGAGTTGAACATTTATGTTGATAGAGGAGTTTTAAAACACTCTTTTTCAGGAATCTGAAAGTGGATATTTGGAGCGCTTTGAGGACTTTGGTGGAAAAGGAAACACCTTCACAAAAAAAACTAGAGAAGAAGCATTCTCAGAAACTTCTTTGTGATGTGTGCATTCAACTCACAGAGTTGAAACTTTTTTTTTGATAGAGCAGTTTTGAAACACTATTTTTGTACAATCTGCCGTTGGATATTTGGATCGCTTTGATGCCTAAGGTGGAAAACGAAATATCCGCACATAAAATCTAGACAGCAGCATTCTCAGAAACTTGTTTGTGTTGTGTGCATTCAACTCACAGAGTTGAACCTTTCCTTTGATTGAGCAGTTTTGAAAAAGTCTTTTTGTAGAATCTACAAGTGGATATTTGAAGCACATTGAAGCCTATGATGGAAAAGGAAATATCTTCACATACAAACTAGACAGAAGCATTCTCAGAAACTTCTTTGTGTTGTGTGCATTCAACTCACAGAGTTGAACTTTTCCTATGATTGAGCAGTTTTGAAACACTCTTTCTGAAGAATCTGCAAGTGGATATTTGGAGCGCTTTGAGGCCTATGGTGGAAAAGGAAACACCTTCACAAAAAAACTAGAGCAGAAGCATTCTCAGAAACGTCTTTGTGATGTGTGCATTCAACTCACAGAGTTGAACCTTTCTTTGATAGAGCAGTTTTGAAACACTCTTTTTGTAGAATCTGCAGTTGGATATTTGGAGCGCTTTGATGCCTATGGTGGAAAAGGAAATATCCGCACATAAAAACTAGACAGCAGCATTCTCAGAAACTTGTTTGTGTTGTGTGCATTCAACTCACAGAGTTGAGCTTTCCTTTGATTGAGCAGTTTTGAAAATGTCTTTTTGCAGAATCTGCAAGTGGATATTTGGAGCGGTTTGAGGCCTATGGTGTAAAAGGAAATATCTTCACATAAAAACTAGACAGAAGCATTCTCTGAAACTTCTTTGTGATGTGTGAATTCAACTCACAGAGTTGAACCTTTCTTTTGTAGAGCGGTTTTGAAACTCTTTTTGTAGAATGTGTAAGTAGATATTTGGAGCGCTTTGAGGCTTATGGTGGAAAAGGAAATATCTTCACATAAAAACTAGACAGAAGCATTCTCAGAAACTTCTTTGTGATAAGTGCATTCAACTCACAGAGTCGAAGCTTTCTGTTGATAGAGCAGTTTTAAATCACTCTTTTTCTAGAATTTGAAATTGGATATTTAGAGTGCTTTGAGGCCTATGGTGGAAAAGGAAATACCTACACATAAAAACTAGGCGGAAGCATTCTCAGAAATATCTTTGTGATGAGTGCATTCAACTCACAGAGTTGAACATTTATGTTGATAGAGGAGTTTTAAAACACTCTTTTTCAGGAATCTGAAAGTGGATATTTGGAGCGCTTTGAGGCCTATGGTGGAAAAGGAAACACCATCACAAAAATAAACTAGAGCAGAAGCATCCTCAGGAACTTCTTTGTGATGTGTGCATTCAACTCACAGAGTTGAACCTTTTTTTTGGATAGAGCAGTTTTGAAACACTATTTTTGTACAATCTGCGGTTGGATATTTGGAGCGCTTTGATGCCTATGGTGGAAAACGAAATATCCGCATATAAAATCTAGACAGCAGCATTCTCAGAAACTTGTTTGTGTTGTGTGCATTGAACTCACAGAGTTGAACCTTTCCTTTGATTGAGCAGTTTTGAAAAAGTCTTTTTGTAGAATCCACAAGTGGATATTTGGAGCAGTTTGAGGCCTATGGTGTAAAAGGAAATATCTTCACATAAAAACTAGACAGAAGCATTCTCAGAAACTTCTTTGTGTTGTGTGCATTCAACTCACAGAGTTGAACTTTTCCTATGATTGAGCAGTTTTGAAACACTCTTTCTGAAGAATCTGCAAGTGGATATTTGGAGCGCTTTGAGGCCTATGGTGGAAAAGGAAACACCTTCACAAAAAAACTAGAGCAGAAGCATTCTCAGAAACGTCTTTGTGATGTGTGCATTCAACTCACAGAGTTGAACCTTTCTTTGATAGAGCAGTTTTGAAACACTCTTTTTGTAGAATCTGCAGTTGGAGATTTGGAGCGCTTTGATGCCTATGGTGGAAAAGGAAATATCCGCACATAAAAACTAGACAGCAGCATTCTCAGAAACTTGTTTGTGTTGTGTGCATTCAACTCACAGAGTTGAGCTTTCCTTTGATTGAGCAGTTTTGAAAATGTCTTTTTGCAGAATCTGCAAGTGGATATTTGGAGCGGTTTGAGGCCTATGGTGTAAACGGAAATATCTTCACATAAAAACTAGACAGATGCATTCTCTGAAACTTCTTTGTCATGTGTGAATTCAACTCACAGAGTTGAACCATTCTTTTGTAGAGCAGTTTTGAAACTCTTTTTGTAGAATCTGTAAGTAGATATTTGGAGCGCTTTGAGGCTTATTGTGGAAAAGGAAATATCTTCACATAAAAACTAGACAGAAGCATTCTCAGAAACTTCTATGTGATAAGTGCATTCAACTCACACAGTCGAACCTTTCTGTTGATAGAGCAGTTTTAAATCACTCTTTTTCTAGAATCTGAAAGTGGATATTTGGAGTGCTTTGAGGCCTATGGTGGAAAAGGAAATACCTACACATAAAAACTAGTCAGAAGCATACTCAGAAGTATCTTTGTGATGAGTGCATTCAACTCACAGAGTTGAACACTTATGTTGATAGAGGAGTTTTAAAACACTCTTTTTCAGGAATCTGAAAGTGGATATTTGGAGCGCTTTGAGGCCTATGGTGGAAAAGGAAACACCTTCACAAAAAAAACTAGAGCAGAAGCATTCTCAGGAACTTCTTTGTGATGTGTGCATTCAACTCACAGAGTTGAACCTTTTTTTTTGATAGAGCAGTTTTGAAACACTATTTTTGTACAATCTGCGGTTGGATATTTGGAGCGCTTTGATGCCTATGGTGGAAAACGAAATATCTGCAGATAAAATCTAGACAGCAATGATGATTTCCAATTTCATCCATGTCCCTGCAAAGGACATGAACTTATCATTTTTTACGGCTGCATAGTATTCCATGGTGCATATGTGCGGCATTATTCACAATAGCAAAGACTTGGAACTAAACCAAATGTCTAACAATGATAGACTGGATTAAGAAAATGTGGCACATATGAACCTTCTTTTTCATAGACCAGTTTTGAAACACTCTTTTTGTAGAATCTGCAAGTGGACATTTGGAGCACTTTGAGGTATATGGTAGAAAAGGAAATATCTTCACATAAAAACTAGACAGAAG
>NC_000020.11:30030836-30038348 GCF_000001405.40 Homo sapiens
AGCATTCTCAGAAACTTCTTTGTGTTGTGTGCATTCAACTCACAGAGTTGAACTTTTCCTATGATTGAGCAGTTTTGAAACACTCTTTCTGAAGAATCTGCAAGTGGATATTTGGAGCGCTTTGAGGCCTATGCTGGAAAAGGAAACACCTTCACGAAAAAACTAGAGCAGAAGCATTCTCAGAAACGTCTTTGTGATGTGTGCATTCAACTCACAGAGTTGAACCTTTCTTTGATAGAGCAGTTTTGAAACACTCTTTTTGTAGAATCTGCAGTTGGATATTTGGAGCGCTTTGATGCCTACGGTGGAAAAGGAAATATCCGCACATAAAAACAAGACAGCAGCATTCTCAGAAACTTGTTTGTGTTGTGTGCATTCAACTCACAGAGTTGACCTTTCCTTTGATTGAGCAGTTTTGAAAAAGTCTTTTTGCAGAATCTGCAAGTGGATATTTGGAGAGGTTTGAGGCCTATGGTGTAAAAGGAAATATCTTCACATAAAAACTAGACAGAAGCATTCTCTGAAACTTCTTTGTGATGTGTGAATTCAACTCACGGAGTTGAACATTTATTTGTAGAGCAGTTTTGAAACTCTTTTTGTAGAATCTGTAAGTAGGTATTTGGGGCGCTTTGAGGCTTATGGTGGAAAAGGAAATATCTTCACATAAAAACTAGACAGAAGCATTCTCAGAAACTTCTTTGTCATAAGTGCATTCAACTCACAGAGTCGAACCTTTCTGTTGATAGAGCAGTTTTAAATCACTCTTTTTCTAGAATCTGAAAGTGGATATTTGGAGTGCTTTGAGGCCTATGGTGGAAAAGGAAATACCTACACATAAAAACTAGGCGTAAGCATTCTCAGAAATATCTTTGTGATGAGTGCATTCAACTCACAGAGTTGAACACTTATGTTGATAGAGGAGTTTTAAAACACTCTTTTTCAGGAATCTGAAAGTGGATATTTGGAGCGCTTTGAGGCCTATGGTGGAAAAGGAAACACCTTCACAAAAAAAACTAGAGCAGAAGCATTCTCAGAAACTTCTTTGTGATGTGTGCATTCAACTCACAGAGTTGAACCTTTTTTTTTGATAGAGCAGTTTTGAAACACAATTTTTGTACAATCTGCGGTTGGATATTTGGAGCGCTTTGATGCCTATGGTGGAAAACGAAATATCCGCACATAAAATCTAGACAGCAGCATTCTCAGAAACTTGTTTGTGTTGTGTGCATTCAACTCACAGAGTTGAACCTTTCCTTTGATTGAGCAGTTTTGAAAAAGTCTTTTTGTAGAATCCACAAGTGGATATTTGGAGCAGTTTGAGGCCTATGGTGTAAAAGGAAATATCTTCACATAAAAACTAGACAGAAGCATTCTCAGAAACTTCTTTGTGTTGTGTGCATTCAACTCACAGAGTTGAACTTTTCCTATGATTGAGAAGTTTTGAAACACTCTTTCTGAAGAATCTGCAAGTGGATATTTGGAGCGCTTTGAGGCCTATGGTGGAAAAGGAAACACCTTCACAAAAAAACTAGAGCAGAAGCATTCTCAGAAACGTCTTTGTGATGTGTGCATTCAACTCACAGAGTTGAACCTTTCTTTGATAGAGCAGTTTTGAAACACTCTTTTTGTAGAATCTGCAGTTGGATATTTGGAGCGCTTTCATGCCTATGGTGGAAAAGGAAATATCCGCACATAAAAACTAGACAGCAGCATTCTCAGAAACTTGTTTGTGTTGTATGCATTCAACTCACAGAGTTGACCTTTCCTTTGATTGAGCAGTTTTGAATAAGTCTTTTTGCAGAATCTGCAAGTGGATATTTGGAGCGGTTTGAGGCCTATGGTGTAAAAGGAAATATCTTCACATAAAAACTAGACAGAAGCATTCTCTGAAACTTCTTTGTGATGTGTGAATTCAAATCACAGAGTTGAACCTTTCTTTTGTAGAGCAGTTTTGAAACTCTATTTGTAGAATCTGTAAGTAGATATTTGGAGCGCTTTGAGGCTTATGGTGGAAAAGGAAATATCTTCACATAAAAACTAGACAGAAGCATTCTCAGAAACTTCTTTCTGATAAGTGCATTCAACTCACAGAGTCGAACCTTTCTGTTGATAGAGCAGTTTTAAATCACTCTTTTTCTAGAATCTGAAAGTGGATATTTGGAGTGCTTTGAGGCCTATGGTGGAAAAGGAAATACCTACACATAAAAACTAGGTGGAAGCATTCTCAGAAGTATCTTTGTGATGAGTGCATTCAACTCACAGAGTTGAACACTTATGTTGATAGAGGAGTTTTAAAACATTCTTTTTCAGGAATCTGAAGGTGGATATTTGGAGCGCTTTGAGGCCTATGGTGGAAAAGGAAACACCTTCACAGAAAAAACTAGAGCAGAAGCATTCTCAGAAACTTCTTTGTGATGTGTGCATTCAACTCACAGAGTTGAACCTTTTTTTTTGATAGAGCAGTTTTGAAACACTATTTTTGTACAATCTGCGGTTGGATATTTGGAGCGCTTTGATGCCTATGGTGGAAAACGAAATATCCGCACATAAAATCTAGACGAGCAGCATTCTCAGAAACTTGTTTGTGTTGTGTGCATTCAGCTCACAGAGTTGAACCTTTCCTTTGATTGAGCAGTTTTGAAATAGTCTTTTTGTAGAATCCACAAGTGGATATTTGGAGCAGTTTGAGGCCTATGGTGTAAAAGGAAATATCTTCACATAAAAACTAGACAGAAGCATTCTCAGAAACTTCTTTGTGTTGTGTGCATTCAACTCACAGAGTTGAACTTTTCCTATGATTGAGCAGTTTTGAAACACTCTTTCGGAAGAATCTGCAAGTGGATATTTGGAGCGCTTTGAGGCCTGTGGTGGAAAAAGAAACACCTTCACAAAAAAACTAGAGCAGAAGCTTTCTCAGAAACGTCTTTGTGATGTGTGCATTCAACTCACAGAGTTGAACCTTTCTTTGATAGAGCAGTTTTGAAACACTCTTTTTGTAGAATCTGCAGTTGGATATTTGGAGCGCTTTGATGCCTATGGTGGAAAAGGAAATATCCGCACATAAAAACTAGACAGCAGCATTCTCAGAAACTTGTTTGTGTTGTGTGCATTCAACTCACAGAGTTGAGCTTTCCTTTGATTGAGCAGTTTTGAAAAAGTCTTTTTGCAGAATCTACAAGTGGATATTTGGAGCGGTTTGAGGCCTATGGTGTAAAAGGAAATATCTTCACATAAAAACTAGACAGAAGCATTCTCTGAAACTTCTTTGTGATGTGTGAATTCAACTCGCAGAGTGGAACCTTTCTTTTGTAGAGCAGTTTTGAAACTCTTTTTGTAGAATCTGTAAGTAGATATTTGGAGCGCTTTGAGGCTTACGGTGGAAAAGGAAATATCTTCACATTAAAACTAGACAGAAGCATTCTCAGAAACTTCTTTGTGATAAGTTCATTCAACTCACAGCAGTCGAACCTTTCTGTTGATAGAGCAGTTTTAAATCACTCTTTTTCTAGAATCTGAAAGTGGATATTTGGAGTGCTCTGAGGCCTATGGTGGAAAAGGAAATGCCTACACATAAAAACTAGGCGGAAGCATTCTCAGAAATATCTTTGTGATGAGTGCATTCAACTCACAGAGTTGAACATTTATGTTCATAGAGGAGTTTTAAAACACTCTTTTTCAGGAATCTGAAAGTGGATATTTGGAGCGCTTTGAGGCCTATGGTGGAAAAGGAAACACCTACACAAAAAAAACTAGAGCAGAAGCATTCTCAGAAACTTCTTTGTGATGTGTGCATTCAACTCACAGAGTTGAACCTTTTTTTTTGATAGAGCAGTTTTGAAACACTATTTTTGTACAATCTGCGGTTGGATATTTGGAGGGCTTTGATGCCTATGGTGGAAAACGAAATATCCGCACATAAAATCTAGACAGCAGCATTCTCAGAAACTTGTTTGTGTTGTGTGCATTCAACTCACAGAGTTGAACCTTTCCTTTGATTGAGCAGTTTTGAAAAAGTCTTTTTGCAGAATCTGCAAGTGGATATTTGGAGCGGTTTGAGGCCTATGGTGTAAAAGGAAATATCTTCACATAAAATCTAGACGGAAGCATTCTCTGAAACTTCTTTGTGATGTGTGAATTCAACTCGCAGAGTTGAACCTTTCTTTTGTAGAGCAGTTTTGAAACTCTTTTTGTAGAATCTGTAAGTAGATATTTGGAGCGCTTTGAGGCGTATGGTGGAAAAGCAAATATCTTCACATAAAAACTAGACAGAAGCATTCTCAGAAACTTCTTTGTGATAAGTGCATTCAACTCACAGAGTCGAACCTTTCTGTTGATAGAGCAGTTTTAAATCACTCTTTTTCTAGAATCTGAAAGTGGATATTTGGAGTGCTTTGAGGCCTATGGTGGAAAAGGAAATACCTACACATAAAAACTAGGCGTAAGCATTCTCAGAACTATCTTTGTGATGAGTGCATTCAACTCACAGAGTTGAACATTTATGTTGATAGAGGACTTTTAAAAGACTCTTTTTCAGTAATCTGAAAGTGGATATTTGGAGCGCTTTGAGGCCTATGGTGGAAAAGGAGACACCTTCACAAAAAAAACTAGAGCACAAGCATTCTCAGAAACTTCTTTGTGATGTGTGCATTCAACTCACAGAGTTGAACCTTTTTTTTTCATAGAGCAGTTTTGAAACACTATTTTTGTACAATCTGCGGTTGGATATTTGGAGCGCTTTGATGCCTATGGTGGAAAACGAAATATCCGCACATAAAATCTAGACAGCAGCATTCTCAGAAACTTGTTTGTGTTGTGTGCATTCAACTCACATAGTTGAACCTTTCCTTTGATTGAGCAGTTTTGAAAAAGTCTTTTTGTAGAAACCACAAGTGGATATTTGGAGCAGTTTGAGGCCTATAGTGTAAAAGGAAATATCTTCACATAAAAACTAGACAGAAGAATTCTCAGAAACTTCTTTGTGTTGTGTGTATTCAACTCACAGAGTTGAAATTTTCCTTTGATTGAGCAGTTTTGAAACACTCTTTTTGTAGAATCTGCAAGTGGATATTTGGAGTGCTTTGAGGCCTATGGTGGAAAAGGAAACACCTTCCCATAAAAAGTAGAGCAGAAGAATTCTCAGAAACTTCTTTGTGATGTGTGCATTCAACTCTTTGAGTTTTTTGATAGAGCAGTTTTGAAACACTATTTTTGTAGAATCTGCAATTGGATATTTGGAGGGCTTTGATGCCTACCGTGGAAAAGGAAATATCCACACATAAAAACTAGACAGCAGCATGCTCAGAAACTTGTTTGTGTTGTGTGCATTCAACTCACAGAGTTGACCTTTCCTTTGATTGAGCAGTTTTGAAAAAGTCTTTTTGTAGAATCTGCAAGTGGACATTTGGAGCGGTTTAAGGCCTATGGTGTAAAAGGAAATATCTTCACATAAAGACTAGACAGAAGCATTCTCTGAAACTTCTTTGTGATGTGTGAATTCAACTCACAGAGTTGAACCTTTCTTTTGTAGAGCAGTTTTGAAACTCTTTTTGTAGAATCTGTAAGTAGATATTTGGAGCGCTTTGAGGCTTATGGTGGAAAAGGAAATATCTTCACATAAAAACTAGACAGAAGCATTCTCAGAAACTTCTTTGTGATAAGTGCATTCAACTCAGAGAGTCGAACCTTTCTGTTGATAGAGCAGTTTTAAATCACTGTTTTTCTAGAATCTGAAAGTCGATATTTGGAGTGCTTTGAGGCCTATGGTGGAAAAGGAAATACCTACACATAAAAACTAGGCGGAAGCATTCTCAGAAATATCTTTGTGATGAGTGCACTCAACTCACGGAGTTGATCATTTCTTTGATAGAGGAGTTTTAAAACACTCTTTTTCTGGAATCTCAAAGTGGATATTTGGAGCGCTTTAAGGCCTATGGTGGAAAAGGAAACACCTTCACAAAAAAACTAGAGCAGAAGCATTCTCAGAAACTTGTTTCTGTTGTGTGCATTCAACTCACAGAGTTGAACCTTTTTATTTGATAGAGCAGTTTTGAAACACTATTTTTGTACAATCTGCGGTTGGATATTTGGAGCGCTTTGATGCCTATGGTGGAAAAGGAAATATCCGCACATAAAATCTAGACAGCAGCATTCTCAGAAACTTGTTTGTGTTGTGTGCATTCAACTCACAGAGTTGAACCTTTCCTTTCAATGAGCAGTTTTGAAAAAGTCTTTTTGTAGAATCCACAAGTGGATATTTGGAGCAGTTTGAGGCCTATGATGTAAAAGGAAATATCTTCACATAAAAACTAGACAGAAGCATTCTCAGAAACTTCTTTGTGTTGTGTGCATTCAACTCACAGAGTTGAACTTTTCCTATGATTGAGCAGTTTTGAAACACTCTTTCTGAAGAATCTGCAAGTGGATATTTGGAGCGCTTTGAGGCCTATGGTGGAAAAGGAAACACCTTCACAAAAAAACTAGAGCAGAAGCATTCTCAGAAACGTCTTTGTGATGTGTGCATTCAACTCACAGAGTTGAACCTTTCTTTGATAGAGCAGTTTTGAAACACTCTTTTTGTAGAATCTGCAGTTGGATATTTGGAGCGCTTTGATGCCTATGGTGGAAAAGGAAATATCCGCACATAAAAACTAGACAGCAGCAGTCTCAGAAACTTGTTTGTGTTGTGTGCATTCAACTCACAGAGTTGAGCTTTCCTTTGATTGAGCAGTTTTGAAAAAGTCTTTTTGCTGAATCTGCAAGTGGATATTTGGAGCGGTTTGAGGCCTATGGTGTAAAAGGAAATATCTTCACATAAAAACTAGACAGAAGCATTCTCCGAAACTTGTTTGTGTTGTGTGCATTCAACTCACAGAGTTGAACCTTTCTTTCGTAGAGCAGTTTTGAAACACTCTTTTTGTAGAATCTGCAAGTAGATATTTGGAGCGCTTTGAGGCTTATGGTGCAAAAGGAAATATCTTCACATACAAACTAGACAGAAGCATTCTCAGAAACTTCTTTGTGATAAGTGCATTCAACTCACAGAGTCGAACCTTTCTGTTGATAGAGGAGTTTTAAATCACTCTTTTTCTAGAATCTGAAAGTGGATATTTGGAGTGCTCTGAGGCCTATGGTGGAAAAGGAAATACCTACACATAAAAACTAGGCGGAAGCATTCTCAGAAGTATCTTTGTGATGAGTGCATTCAACTCACAGAGTTGAACACTTATGTTGATAGAGGAGTTTTAAAACACTCTTTTTCAGGAATCTGAAAGTGGATATTTGGAGCGCTTTGAGGCCTATGGTGGAAAAGGAAACACCTTCACAAAAAAAACTAGAGCAGAAGCATTCTCAGGAACTTCTTTGTGATGTGTGCATTCAACTCACAGAGTTGAACCTTTTTTTCTGATAGAGCAGTTTTGAAACACTATTTTTGTACAATCTGCGGTTGGATATTTGGAGCGCTTTGATGCCTATGGTGGAAAACGAAATATCCGCACATAAAATCTAGACAGC
>NC_000020.11:31051508-31107036 GCF_000001405.40 Homo sapiens
GAATTCAATGAAATGGTTTGGAATGGTGTGGAATGGAATGGAATGGAATGCAATGGAATGGAATCAAAGCGAGTGGAATGGAATGGAATGAAATGGAATGGAATGGAATCAACACGAGTGGAATGGAAGGGAATGGAATGAGATGGGATGGAATGGAATGGAATGAAATGCAATGGAATCAACCCGAGTAGAATGGAAAGGAATGGAGTGGAATGGAAAGGAATGGAATGGAATGGAATGCAATGGAATCCACCCGATATGAATGGAAGCGAATGGCACGGAATGGAATGGAATGCAATGGAATGGAATGGAATGGAATGGAATGCAAGGTCATGGAATGGAATGGAGTCAACTGGAATGGAATGGAATGGAATGGAACCAACACGAGTGGAATGAAATGGAAAGGAGCGGAATGGACAGGAAAGGAATGGAAAGGAACTGAATGTAATGGAATCGAATGGAGTGGAATTGAATGGAATGGAATGGAATCAACGTGAGTGAAATGGAATGGAATGGAATGGAATGAAGGGGAATGGAATGGAATGGAATGGAATGGAATGCAATGGATTCAATGCGTGTGCAATGGAATGGAATGGAATGGAATGGAATGGAATTAACAAGAATGGAAAGGATTGGAATGGAATGGAATGGAATGGAATGGAATGGAGAGGAGGCAAACCGAGTGGAATGGAATGGATTGCAATGGAATGGAAAGGAATGGAAAGGAATGGAATGGAATGCAACGGAATGGAGTGGAATGGAATGGAATGGAATCAATGCAAGTGTAATTGAATGGAATGGAATGGAATGGAATGGAATGGAGTGGAATTGATTGGAATTGATATGAATGGAATGGAATCAACTGGAATGGAACGGAATGGAATGGAATGGAATGGAATGGAATGGAATGGAATGGAATCAACTAGAATGGAAAGGAATGGAATGGAATGCAATGGAATGGAATGGAATGGAATGGAATCAACCCTTGTGAAAGGTAAAGCAAAGGAATGGAATGGAATGGAATGGAATGGAATCAACAAAAGTGGAATGGAATGGAATGGAATACAACGAAATGGAAAGGAATGGAATGGAATAAACCGGAGTGGAATGGAGTGGAATGGAATGCAATGGATTCGATTGGAATTTAATTAACCCGATTGGAATGGAGTGGAATGGAATTGAATGGAATGGAAAGAAGCCAATTGGAATGCAGTGGACTGCAAAGGAATGGAATTGAAAAAGATGGAATGGAATGGAATGGAATGGAATGGAATGGAATGGAATGGAATGGAATCAACCCGAGTGGAATGGAATGGAATGGAATGGAAAAGAATGGAATGGAATGGAACCAATAAGAGTGGAATGGATTGGAATGGAATGGAATGGAATGAAAGAGAATGGAATCAACCCGAGTGGAATGGAATGGAATGGAATGGAATGGAATGGAATGGAATGGAATGGAATGGAATAAACCTGAGTAGAATGCAATGGAAGGGTATGGAATCGAATGGAATGGAATGGCATTGAATGGAATCAACACAGGTGGAATGGAATGGAATGGAGTGGATTGGAAAGTTATGGAATCAACCCGAATGGAATGTAATGGAATGGAATGGAATGAAATGCAGTGGAATTTCCCCGAGTGGAATGGAATGGTATGGAGTGAAATGGAACGGAATGGAATGGTATGGAATGGAAAGGAATGGAATGAAAAGGAAAGGAAAGCAATGGAATCAAAACGAGTGGAATGGAATGGAATGTAAAGAAATGGAGTGGAATTCTATAGAATCAACACGAGTGGAATGGAATGGAAAGGAATTGAATGGAATGGAATGGAATGGAATGGAATGGAATGGAATGAAAAGGAATGGATTCAATGTAAGTGTAATGGAATGGAATAGAATGGGGTGGAATGGAATGGAATGGAATGGAATGGAATGGAATGGAATGGAATGGAATGGCATGGAGTGGAATCAACTGGAATGGAATGGAATGGAACGCAATGGAATGGAATTGAATGGAATGGAATCAACTAGAATGGAAAGGAATGAAATGGAATAGAATGCGATGGAATGAACTGGAATGGAATCAACCCGTGTGGAATGTAATGCAAAGGAATGGAATGGAATGGAATGGAATCAACAAAAGTGTAATGGAAGGGAAAGGAATAGAATGGAATGGAAAGCAATGCAGTCAACACGAATGGAATCGAATGGAGTGGAATTTAATGGAATGGAATGGAATGGAATGGAATGGAATGCAATGGAATGGAATGGGATAGAATGGAATCAAACTGAGGGGAGTGGAATGGAATTGAATGTAATGGAATGGAATGAATTGGAATGGAAAGGAATGGAACGGAACGGAATGGAATCAACCAGAATGCAATGGAATTGAATGGAATGGAATGGAATGGAATCAACGCGAGTGGAATGGAATTGAATGGAATGGAATGGAATGTAATCAACCCGAGTGGAATGGAATGGAATGGAATGGAATGGAATTAACCCGAGTGAAATGGAATGGAAAGGAACGGAATGGAATTTAATGGAATTTAATGTAATGGAATGGAATGGAATGGAATGGAATGGAATGCAAAGGAATGGAAAGGAATGGAATGGAATGGATTTGAATGGAGTCACTGCAAGTGTAATGGAATGGAATGGAATGGAATGGAATGCAATGGAATGGAATGGAGAGGAATGGAATGGAATTGATTTGAATGGAATGGAATCAACTGGAATGGAATGCAATGGAATGGAATGGAATGGAATCAACTAGAATGGAAAGGAATGGAATGGAATGGAATGCAGTGGAATGGAACGGAATCAACCCGTGTGGAATGTAATGCAAAGGAATGGAATGGAATGGAATGGAACCAACAAAAGTGGAATGGAAGGGAATGGAATAGAATGGAATGGAATGGAATAGAAAGCAAAGGAGTCAACACGAATGGAATCGAATAGAATGGAATGCAAAGGAATGGAATGGAATGGAATGCAATGGAATGGAATGGAATGCAATGGAATGGAATGGGAAGGGATGGAATATAAACAAACCGAGTGGAGTAGAATGGAATTGAATGGAATGGAATGGAAAAATTGGAATGGAAAAAATTGGAATGGAAAGGAATGGAATGGAAAGGAATGGAATGGAATGGAATGGAATCAACCAGAGTTGAATGGAATGGAATGGAATGGAATGGAATGGAATGGAATGGAATGGAATGGAATCAACCCGAGTGGAATGGAATTGAATGGAATGGAATGGAATGGAATGGAATGCAATGGAACGGAAAGGAATGGAATAGAATGGAATGGAAAGGAATGGATTAGAGTGGAATGGAATGGAATGAAATGGAATGGAATGGAATGGAATGGAATCAACCCGAGTGGAATGTAATGGAATGGAATGGAAAGGAATACAATCAACCCAAGTAGAAAGGAATGGTAAGGAATGAAATGGAATGGAATGGAATGGTATGGAATGGAATGGAATGGAATGGAATGCAATGGAAAGGAATGCAATGGAATCAAAGCGAATGGAATGGAATGGAATGGAAAGGAATGGAATGGAATTCAATAGAATCAACGCGAGTGGAAGGGAATGCAAAGGAATGGAATGGAATGGAATGGAATGGAATGGAATGGAATGAAATGGATTGGAATCAACCCGCGTGGAATGTAGCGGATTCGAATGGAATGGAATCAACCCGATAGGAATGGAATGAAATGGAATGGAATGCAATGGAATTGAATGGAAAGGAATGGAGTCAAACCTACTGGAATGGAAGGGAATGGAATGCAAAGGAATGGAATGGAATGGAATGCACAGGAATGGAATGGAATGGAATGCAATGGAATCAACCCGACTGGACTGGAATGGAATGGAATGGAATGGAATGAAACGGAGTCAAACCGACTGCAATGGAATGGAATGGAAGGGAATGGAATGGAATGGAATCGAATGAAGTTAACTCGAATGGAATGGAATGGAATGGAATGGAATGGAATGGAATGGAATGGATTCAATGTGAGAGGAATGGAATGGAATGGAGTGGAATGGACTGGAACGAAATGGAATAGAATGGAATGGAATGGATTGAAATGGAATGGAAAGGAATAAAATCAAGTGAAATTGGATGGAATGGATTGAAATGGAAAGGAATGGAATGGAATGGAAAGGAATTAAATGGAATCCACCCAAGTGGAATGGAATGGATTGGAATGGAAAGGAATGGAATGGAATGGAATGGAATGGACTTCACACGAGTGCAACGGAATGGAATGGAATGGAACCAAGCCGAGTGGAATGGAATGGAATGGAAATTAATGGAATGGAATGGAATGGAATGGAATCAACCCGAGTGGAATGGAATGGAATTCAATGAAATGGTTTGGAATGGTGTGGAATGGAATGGAATGGAATGCAATGGAATGGAATCAAAGCGAGTGGAATGGAATGGAATGAAATGGAATGGAATGGAATCAACACGAGTGGAATGGAAGGGAATGGAATGGGATGGGATGGAATGGAATGGAATGAAATGCAATGGAATCAACCCGAGTAGAATGGAAAGGAATGGAGTGGAATGGAAAGGAATGGAATGGAATGGAATGCAATGGAATGCACCAGATTAGAATGGAAGCGAATGGCACGGAATGGAATGGAATGGAATGGAATGGAATGGAATGGAATGGAATGCAAGGTCATGGAATGGAATGGAGTCAACTGGAATGGAATGGAATGGAATGGAACCAACACGAGTGGAATGAAATGGAAAGGAGCGGAATGGACAGGAAAGGAATGGAAAGGAACTGAATGTAATGGAATCGAATGGAGTGGAATTGAATGGAATGGAATGGAATCAACGTGAGTGAAATGGAATGGAATGGAATGGAATGAAGGGGAATGGAATGGAATGGAATGCAATGGATTCAATGCGTGTGCAATGGAATGGAATGGAATGGAATGGAATTAACAAGAATGGAAAGGATTGGAATGGAATGGAATGCAATGGAATGGAATGGAGAGGAGGCAAACCGAGTGGAATGGAAGGGATTCCAATGGAATGGAAAGGAATGGAAAGGAATGGAATGGAATGCAACGGAATGGAGTGGAATGGAATGGAATGGAATCAATGCAAGTGTAATTGAATGGAATGGAATGGAATGGAATGGAATGGAATGGAATGGAATGGAGTGGAATTGATTGGAATTGATATGAATGGAATGGAATCAACTGGAATGGAACGGAATGGAATGGAATGGAATGGAATGGAATCAACTAGAATGGAAAGGAATGGAATGGAATGCAATGGAATGGAATGGAATGGAATGGAATCAACCCTTGTGAAAGGTAAAGCAAAGGAATGGAATGGAATGGAATGGAAGGGAATCAACAAAAGTGGAAAGGAATGGAATGGAATACAAAGGAATGGAAAGGAATGGAATGGAATAAACCGGAGTGGAATGGAGTGGAATGGAATGCAATGGATTCGATTGGAATTTAATTAACCCGATTGGAATGGAGTGGAATGGAATTGAATGGAATGGAAAGAAGCCAATTGGAATGCAGTGGACTGCAAAGGAATGGAATTGAATAAGATGGAATGGAATGGAATGGAATGGAATGGAATGGAATGGAATGGAATGGAATCAACCCGAGTGGAATGGAATGGAATGGAATGGAAAAGAATGGAATGGAATGGAACCAGTAAGAGTGGAATGGATTGGAATGGAATGGAATGGAATGAAAGAGAATGGAATCAACCCGAGTGGAATGGAATGGAATGGAATGGAATGGAATGGAATGGAATGGAATGGAATAAACCTGAGTAGAATGCAATGGAAGGGTATGGAATCGAATGGAATGGAATGGCATTGAATGGAATCAACACAGGTGGAATGGAATGGAATGGAGTGGATTGGAAAGTTATGGAATCAACCCGAATGGAATGTAATGGAATGGAATGGAATGAAATGCAGTGGAATTTCCCCGAGTGGAATGGAATGGTATGGAGTGAAATGGAACGGAATGGAATGGTATGGAATGGAATGGAATGGAATGAAAAGGAAAGGAAAGCAATGGAATCAAAACGAGTGGAATGGAATGGAATGTAAAGAAATGGAGTGGAATTCTATAGAATCAACACGAGTGGAATGGAATGGAAAGGAATTGAATGGAATGGAATGGAATGGAATGGAATGGAATGGAATGGAAACCAATCCAATGTAAATCAATGGAACGGAACGGAATAGAATTCCGTTCGAGTGGAATGGAAATTCGAGTGGAATGGAATGGAATGCAATGTAATATAATGGAAATGAATGGAATCCACCCGAATGGAAAGGAAAGGAATGGAATGGAATGGAATGGAATGGAATGGAATGGAATGGAGAGGAATGGAATGGAATGGAATGCAGAGGAATGGAATGGAATTGATTTGAATGGAATGGAATCAACTGGAATGGAATGGAATGGAATGGAATGGAATGGAATGGAATGGAATCAACTAGAATAGAATGGAATGGAATGCAGTGGAATGGAATGGAATGGAATCAACCCGTGTGGAATGTAATGCAAAGGAATGGATTGGAATGGAATGGAATCAACAAAAGTGTAATGGAAGGGAATGGAATAGAATGGAATGGAATGGAATGGAAAGCAATGGAGTCAACCCGAATGGAATCGAATGGAATGGAATGCAATGGAATGGAATGCAATGGAATGGAATGGTATAGAATGGAATGGGATGGAATGGAATCCAACAGAGTGGAGAGGAAGGGAATTGAATGGAATGGAATGGAATAAATTGGAATGGAAAGGAATGGAATGGAATGGAATGGAATGGAATGGAATGGAATGGAATCAACCAGAGTGGAATGGAATGGAATGGAATGGAACGGAATCGGATAGAATGGAATCAAACCGAGTGGAGTGGAATGGAATTAAATGTAATGGAATGGCATAAATTAGAATGGAAAGGAATGGAATGGAATGGAATGGAATCAACCAGAGTGGAATGGAACTGAATGCAATGCAATGGAATGGAATCAACCCGAGGGGAATGGAATTGAATGGAATGGAATGCAATGGAATCAACCCGAGTGGAATGGAATTGAATGGAATGGAATGGAATGGAATCAACCCGAGTGGAATGGAATTGAATGGAATGGAATGGAATTAACCCGAGTGAAATGGAATGGAAAGGAACGGAATGGAATGTAATGGAATGGAATGGAATGGAATCAACCTGAGTGGACTGGAATGAAATGGACTGGAATGGAAAGCAATGGAATTGAGTGGAATCAACCAGAGTTGAATGGAATTGAATGGAATGGAATGCAATGGAATCAGCCCAAATGGAATGTAATGAAATGGAATTGAATGGAATTACCCCAAGTGAAATGGCATGGAAAGGAACGGAATAGAATTTAATGGAATGGAATGGCATGCAATGGAATCAACCCGAGTGGAATGGAATGGCATGAAATGGAATGCAATGCAATGGAATGGAAACAATAAGAGTAGAATGGATTAGAATGGAATGGAATGGAATGAAAGGGAATGGAATGGAATGGAATGGAATGGATTGGAATCAAAAATAGTGTAATGGAATGGAATGGAAAGGAATGGAATGGAATGAAATCAACCCGAGTGGAATGGAATGGAATGGAATGGGATACAATAGAATGAAATGGAGTGGATTGGAATAAATCTGAGTGGAATGGAAAGGAATGGAAAGGAATGGAATTGAAGAGAATGGAATGGAATGGAATGGAGTGGAATGCAATGGAATGGAATGGAATGGAATGGAATGGAATGGAAAGGAATCAACCAGAGTGGAATTGACTGTAATGGACGGGAATGGAATGGAATGGAATGGAATGGAATGGAATGGAATGGAATGGAATGGAAAGGAATTGAACAGAATGGAATGGAAAGGAATGGATTGGAGTGGAATGGAATGGAATGGAATGGAATGGAATGGAATGGAATGGTATCAATGCAAGTGTAATTGAATGGAATGGAATGGAGTGGAGAGGAATGGAATGGAATTGCTTTGAATGCACTGGAATCACCTGGAATCGAATGGAATGGAATGGAATCAACTAGAATGGAAAGGAATGGAATGGAATGGAATGCAGTTGAATGGAATGGCATGGAATCAACCCGTGTGGAATGTAATGCAAAGGAATGGAATGGAATGGAATGGAATGGAATGGAATGGAATGGACTGAACAAAAGTGGAATGGAAGGGAATGGAATAGAATGGAATGGAATGGAATGGAATGGAATTGAAAGCAATGGAGTCAACACGAATGGAATCGAATGGAATGGAATGCAATGGAATGGAATGGAATGCAATGGAATGGAATGGAAAGGAATGGAATGGAATGGAATGGAATGGAATGGGATGGAATGGAATGGAATCAACCAGAGTGGAATAGAATTGAATGGAATTGAATGGAATGAAATCAACCCGAGTGGAATGGAATTGAATCGAATGGAATGGAATGGAATGGATTAGAATGGAATGGAATGGAATGGAATCAACCAGAGTGGAATGGAATTGAATGGAATGGAATGGAATGGAATCAACCCGAGTGGAATGGAATTGAATGGAATGGAATGGAATGGAATGGATTGGAATGGAATGGAATGGAATGGAAACAACCAGAGTGGAAAGGAATTGAATGGAATGGAATGGAATAGAATCAACCCGAGTTGAATTGAAAGGAATGGAATGGAATGGAATCGAATGGAATGGAATGGAATGGAATGGATTGGAATGGAATGGAATGGAATCAACGCGAGTGGAATGGAATGGAATGAATTGAATGGAATTAACCCGAGTGAAATGGAATGGAAAGGAATGGAATGGAATTTAATGGAATTGAATGGAATGGAATGGAATCAACCTGAATGGAATGGAATGAAATGGAATGGAATGGAAAGCAACGGAATTGAATGGAATCAACCAGAGTTGAATGGAATTGAATGGAATGGAATGGATTGGAATCAACCCAAATGGAATAGAATGGAATGGAATTGAATGGAATTACCCCGAGTGAAATGGCATGGAAAGGAACGGAATATAATTTAATGGAATAGAATGGAATGGAATGGAATCAACCCGAGTGTAACTGAATGGAATGTAATGGAATGCAATGTAATGGAATGGAACCAATAAGAGTGGAATGGATTGGAATAGAATGGAATGGAATGAAAGGGAATGGAATCAACCTGAGTGGAATGGAATGGAATGGAATGGAATGGAATGGAATGGAATGGAATGGAATGGAATACACCAGAGTGGAATGGAATAGAATGGAATGGAATGGAGTGGAATCAACCCCAGTGGAATGGAATGGAATGGAATGGAATGGAATGGAATGGAATGGGATGGAATGGATTGGAATCAAACCGAGTGGAATGGAATGGAATGCAATGGAACGGAAAGGAATGCAATGGAATGAAATAAACCCGAATGGAATGGAATGGAACGGAATAGAATAGAATGGAATGGAGTTGATTGGAATCAATCTGAGTTTAATCGAAAGGAATGGAAAGGAATGGAATTGAAGAGAATTGAATGGAATGGAAAGGAGTGGAATGGAATGGAATGGAATGGAATGGAATGGAATGGAATGGAATGGAATGGAATGCAATGGAATGCAATGGAATCAACCAGAGTGGAATTGAGTGTAATGGATCGAAATGGAATGGAATGGAATGGAATAAACCTGAGTAGAATGCAATGGAAGAGAATGGAATCGAATGGAATGGAATGGAATGGCTTTGAATGGAATCAACATGGGTGGAATGGAATGGAATGGAGTGGATTGGAAAGTTATGGAATCAACCCGAATGGAATGTAATGGAATGTAATGGAATGGAATGCAGTGGAATTAACCCGAGTGGAATGGAATGGTATGGAGTGAAATGGAACGGAATGGAATGGTATGGAATGGAATGGAATGAAAAGGAAAGGAAAGCAATGGAATCAAAACGAGTGGAATGGAATGGAATGTGAAGAAATGGAGTGGAATTCTATAGAATCAACACGAGTGGAATGGAATGGAAACGAATTGAATGCAATGGAATGGAATGGAATGGAATCCAATCCAATGTAAAGGAATGGAACGGAACGGAATAGGATGTAATGGAATGGAATGGAATGGACTGGAATGGAAAAAATTCTAGTGCAATGGAATGGAATGAAAAGTAATATAAGGGAAATGAATGGAATCCACTCGAATGGAAAGGAAAGGAATGGAATGGAATGGAATGGAATGCAATGGAATGGAATGGAGAGGAATGGAATGGAATGGAATGGAGAGGAATGGAATGGAATGGAATGCAGAGGAATGGAATGGAATTGATTTGAATGGAATGGAACCAACTGGAATGGAATGGTATGGAATGGAATGGAATCAACTAGAATGGAAAGGAATGAAATGGAATGGAATGCAGTGGAATGGAATGGAATGGAATCAACCCGTGTGGAATGTAATGCAAAACAATGGAATGGAATGGAATGGAATCAACAAAAGTGTAATGGAAG
The DNA here is from genome assembly GCF_000001405.40 of Homo sapiens. NCBI lineage: Eukaryota > Metazoa > Chordata > Mammalia > Primates > Hominidae > Homo > Homo sapiens. Next base: position 31,062,079 of record NC_000020.11, read on the forward strand.
GGAATGGAATAGAGTGGAATGGAATGGAATGGAAAACAATGGAGTCAACCCGAATGGAATCCAATGGAATGGAATGCAATGGAATGGAATGGTATAGAATGGATTGGGATGGAATGGAATCCAACCGAGTGGATAGGAAGGGAATTGAATGGAATGGAATGGAATAAATTGGAATGGAAAGGAATGGAATGGAATGGAATGGAATGGAATCAACCAGAGTGGAATGGAATGGAATGGAATGGAATCGGATAGAATGGAATCAAACCGAGTGGAGTGGAATGGAATTAAATGTAATGGATTGAAATAAATTAGAATGGAATGGAATTAATTAGAATGGAAAGGAATGGAATGGAATGGACTGGAATCAACCAGAGTGGAATGGAATTGAATGGAATGGAATGGAATGGAATCAACCCGAGTGGAATGGAATTGAATGGAATGGAATGGAATGGAATCAACCCGAGTGGAATGGAATTGAATGGAATGGAATGGAATTAACCCGAGTGAAACGGAATGGAAAGGAACGGAATGGAATTTAATGGAATGGAATGGAATGAAATCAACCTGAGTGGACTGGAATGAAATGGACTGGAATGGAAAGCAATGGAATTGAGTGGAATCAACCAGAGTTGAATGGAATTGAATGGAATGGAATGGAATGGAATCAACCCAAATGGAATGTAATGAAATGGAATTGAATGGAATTACCCCCAGTGAAATGGCATGGAAAGGAACGGAATAGAATTTAATGGAATGGAATGGCATGAAATGGAATCAACCCGAGTGGAATGGAATGGCATGAAATGAAATGCAATGCAATGCAATGGAAAAAATAAGAGTGGAATGGATTGGAATGGAATGGAATGGAATGGAATGAAAGGGAATGGAATCACCCCGAGTGGAATGGAATGGAATGGAATGGAATGCAATGGAATGGAACGGAAAGCAATGGAATGGAATGGAATACACCAGAGTGGAATGGAATAGAATGGAATGGAATGGAGTGGAATCAACCCCAGTGGAATGGAATGGAATGGAATGGAATGGAATGGAATGGAATGGAATGGATTGGAATCAACCCGAGTGGAATGGAATGGAATGGAATGGGATGCAATAGAATGAAATGGAGTGGATTGGAATCAATCTGAGTGGAATGGAAAGGAATGGAAAGGAATCGAATTGAAGAGAATGGAATGGAATGGAATGGAATGGAATGGAATGGAATCAACCAGAGTGGAATTGACTGTAATGGACCGGAATGGAATGGAATGGAATGGAATGGAATGGAATGGAATGGAATGGAATGGAATGGAAAGGAATTGAACGGAAAGGAATTGAACAGAATGGAATGGAAAGGAATGGATTGGAGTGGAATGGAATGGAATGGAATGGAATGGTATCAATGCAATTGTAATTGAATGGAATGGAATGGAATGGAGAGGAATGGAATGGAATTGCTTTGAATGCAATGGAATCAGCTGGAATCGAATGGAATGGAATGGAATCAACTAGAATGGAAAGGAATGGAATGGAATGGAATGCAGTTGAATGGAATGGAATGGAATCAACCTGTGTGGAATGTAATGCAAAGGAATGGAATGGAATGGAATGGAATGGAATGGTATGGAATGGAATCAACAAAACTGGAATGGAAGGGAATGGAATAGAATGGAATGGAATGGAATGGAATTGAAAGCAATGGAGTCAACCCGAATGGAATCGAATGGAAAGGAATGCAATGGAACGGAATGGAATGCAAAGGAATGGAATGGAATGGAATGGAATGGAATGGAATGGAATGGAATGGAATGGAATGGAATGGAATGGGATGGAATGGAATGGAATCAACCAGAGTGGAATAGAATTGAATGGAATTGAATGGAATGAAATCAACCTGAGTGGAATGGAATTGAATCGAATATAATGGAATGGAATGGAATGGAATGGAATGGAATGGAATGGAATGGAATGGAATGGAATCAACCAGAGTGGAATGGAATTGAATGGAATGGAATGGAATGGAATCAACCCGAGTGGAATGGAATTGAATGGAATGGAATGGAATGGAATTAACCCGAGTGAAATGGAATGGAAAGGAACGGAATGGAATTTAATGGAATGGAATGGAATGGAATCAACCTGAGTGGACTGGAATGAAATGGGGTGGAATGGAAAGCAATGGATTTGAATGGAATCAGCCAGAGTTGAATGGACTTGAACGGAATGGAATGGAATGGAATCAACCCAAATGGAATGTAATGGAGTGGAATTGAATGGAATTACCCCGAGTGAAATGGCATGGAAAGGAATGGAATAGAAATTAATGGAATGAAATGGAATGGAATGGAATCAACATGACTGGAATGGAATGGAATGAAATGGAATGCAATGCAATGGAATGCAACCAATAAGAGTGGAATGGATTGGAATGGAATGGAATGGAATGAAAGGGAATGGAATCAATCCACGTGGAATGGAACGGAATGGAATGGAATGGAATGGAATGGAATGGAATACACCAGAGTGGAATGGAATAGAATGGAATGGAATGGAGTGGAATCAACCACAGTGGAATGGAATGGAATAGAATGGAATGGAATGGATTGGAATCAAACCGAGTGTAATGGAATGGAATGGAAAGGAATGGAATGGAATGAAATCAACCCGAGTGAAATGGAATAGAATGGAATGGGATGGAATATAATGGAATGGAGTGGATTGGAATCAAACTGATTGGAATGGAAAGGAATGAAAAGGAACGGAATTGAAGGGAATGGAATGGAATGGAATGGAATGGAATGGAATGGAATGGAATGGAATAAACCCGAGTAGAATGCATTTTAAGGGAAAGGAATTGAATGTAATGGAATGGCATTGAATGGAATCAACACGAGTGGAATGGAATGGAATGGAATGGAATGGAATGGAATGGAATGGAATGGAATGAAAGGGAATAGAATCAACCCGTGTGAAATGGAATGGAATGGAATGGAATGGAATGGAATGGAATGGAATGGAATGGAATGGAATGGAATGGAATGGAATGGAATACACCAGAGTGGAATGGAATAGAATGGAATGGAATGGAGTGGAATCAACCACAGTGTAATGGAATGGAATGGAATGGAATGGAATGGAATGGAATGGTATGGAATGGAATGGAATGGATTGGAATCAAACCGAGTGTAATGGAATGGAATGGAAAGGAATGGAATGGAATGAAATCAACCCGAGTGAAATGGAATGGAATGGAGTGGGATGGAATAGAATGGATTGGAGTGGATTGGAATCAATCTGAGTGCAATGGAATGGAATGGAAAGGAATGGAATTGAAGGGAATGGAATGGAATGGAATGGAATGGAATGGAATGGAATGGAATGGAATAAACCCGAGTAGAATGCAATGGAAGGGAATGGATTCGAATGTAATGGAATGGCATTGAATGGAATCAGCACGATTGGAATGGAATGGAATGGAATGGATTGGAGTGGAATGGAATCAACCCCAGTAGAATGTAATGTACAGGAATGGAATGGAATGGAGTAGAATGAACCCGAGTGGAATGGAATGGTATGGAATGAAACGGAATGGAATGGAATGGTATGGAATGGAACGGAATGGTATTGAACGGAATGGAATGGAATGGAATGGAATCGAATCCAGTGTAAAGGAATGGAACGGAATGGAATGTAATGGAATGGAATGGAATGGAATGGAATGGAATGGAAAGGAATGGACTGGAATGGAATAAATTGCAGTGGAATGGTATGGAATGCAAAGTAATATAATGAAAATGAGTGGAATCCACCAAAATGGAAAGGAAAGGAATGGAATGGAATGGAATGAATGGAATGGATTGGAAAGGAATCAACCCGAGTGGAATGGAAAGGAATGGAATGGAATGGAATGCAATGGAATGGAATGGAATGGAATGGAATGGAATGGATTGGAATGGAATCACCCCATGTGGAATGGAAAGAATGGAATGGAATGGAAAGCAATGGCATGGAATGGAATGGAAAGGAATCGAATGGAATGGAATGGACTGGAATGGAATGGAATCAACCCGGGTGGAATGTAATGGAATGAAATGGAATGGAATGGAATGGAATGGAATGGAATGGAATCAAATGGATTTGAATCAACCTGCACGGAATGTAGTGGAATCGAATGGAATGGAATCAACCCGATAGGAATGGAATGAAATGGAATTGAATGGAAAGGAATCGAGTCAACCCTACTGGAATGGAAGGGAATGGAATGGAAAGGAATGGAATGGAATGGAATGCAATGGAATCAACCCGACTGGACTGGAATGGAATGGAATGCAATGGAATGGAATGAAATGGAGTCAAACCGACTGGAATGGAATGGAATGGAATGGAATGGAATGGAATGGAATGGAATGGAGTGGAATGGACTGGAATGCAATGGAATGGATTGAAATGGAATGGAAAGGAATAAAATCAAGTGAAATTGGATGGAATGGATTGGAATAGAAAAGAATGGAATGGAATGGAATGGAATGGAATGGAATGAAATGCAATCCACCGAAGTGGAATGGAATGGATTGGAATGGATTGGAATGGAATGGAATGGAATGGAATGGAATGGAATGGACTTCACACGAGTGCAACGGAATGGAATGGAATGGAACCAACCCGAGTGGAATGGAGTGTAATGGAAATTAATGGAATGGAATGGAATGGAATCAACACGAGGGAATGGAACGGAATGCAATGAAATGGTATGGAATGGTGTGGAATGGAATGGAATGGAATGCAATGGAATGGAATCAAAGCGAGTGGAATGGAATGGAATGAAATGGAATGGAATGGAATCAACACGAGTGGAATGGAAGGGAAAGGAATGGGATGGGATGGAATGGAATGGAATGCAATGCAATGGAATCAACCCGAGAAGAATGGAAAGGAAAGGAATGGAATGGAATGGAATGGAATGGAATCCACCCGATTAGAATGGAAAGGAATGGCAAGGAAGGCAATGGAATGGAATGGAATGGAATGGAATGGAAAGGAATGCAAGGGCATGGAATGGAATGTAGTCAACTGGAATGGAATGGAATGGAATGGAATGGAATGGAATGGAATGGAATCAACACCAGTGGAATGAAATGGAAAGGAGCGGAATGGACAGGAAAGGAATGGAAAGGAACTGAATGTAATGGAATCGAATGGAGTGGAAATGAATGGAATGGAATGGAATCAATATGAGTGAAATGGAATGGAATGGAATGGAGGGGAACGGAATGGAATGGAATGGAATGCAATGGAATCAATGCGAGTGCAATGGAATGGAATGGAATGGAATGGAATGGAATGGAATGGAATAGAAAGGAATGGAGTAAATAAAATGGAATTTATTTGAATGGAATGGAATCAAATGGAATGGAATGGAATGCAATGGAATGGAATGGAATGGAATGGAATGCCATGGAATGGAAAGAAATGGAATTAACAAGAATGGAAAGGAATGCAATGGAATGGAATGGAATGGAATGGAATGGAATCAATGCAAGTGTAATTGAATGGAATGGAATGGAGTGGAATTGATTGGAATTGATATGAATGGAATGGAAACAACTGGAATGGAACGGAATGGAATGGAATGGAATGGAATCAACTAGAATGGAAAGGAATGGAATGGAATGCAATCGAACGGAATGGTATGGAATGGAATCAACCCTTGTGATACGTAAAGCAAAGGAATGGAAAGGAAAGGAATGGAATCAACAAAAGTGGAATGGAATGCAATGGAATAAAATGGAATGGAATGCAATGGAATGGAATGGAATGGAATGGAAAAGAATAAACCAGAGTGGAATGGAATGGAATGGAATGCAATGGATTCAATTGGAATTTAATTAACCCGATTGCAATGGAGTGGAATGGAATGGAATGGAATGGAATGGAATGGAAAGAAGCCGATTGGAATGCATTGGACTGCAAAGGAATCGAATTGAAAGGGATGGAATGGAATGGAATGGAATGGAATGGAATGGAATGGAATGGAATGGAATCAACCCGAGTGGAATGGAATAGAATGGAATGGAATGCAATCAACCCGAGTGGAATGGAATGGAGTGGAATGGAATGGAATGGAATGGATTGGAATGGAATGGAATCGAATGCAATGGAATGGAATAGCGTGGAATGTAATGGAATGCAATGGAAAGGAATCAAGCCAGGTGGAATCAAAAGGAATGGAATGGAATTGAATGCAATGGAATTGAATGGAATGAACCCGAGTGGAATGTAATGGCATGGAACGGAGTGGAATGGAATGGAAAGGAATGGAATGGATTCAACGCGATTGGAAAGGAATGGAATGGAATGGAATGGAATCAACCCGAGTGGAATGGAGTGCAACGGAATGGAATGAAATGGAATGGAATGCAATGGAATGGAATGGAATCAACGTGATTGTAAAGGAATGAAATGAAATGGAATGGAATGGAATGCAATTGAATCAACTCGATTGGAAAGGAATGGTTGGAATGGAAATGAAAGGAATGGAATGGAATGAAATCAACCCGAATGGAATGGAATGGAATGGAATGGAATGGAATGGAATGGAATGGAATGGAATGGAATCACCCAGAGTACAATTGAATGGAATGGAATGGAATGGAATGGAAGGGAATGGAATGGAATGGATTCAAACCAAATGGAATGGAATGGAATGGATTGGAATGGAATGGAATTGAATGGAATAAACTGAAGTGGAATGGTATAGAATGGAATGGAATGGTTTGGAATGGAATGGAATGGGAAGGAATGGAATCAACTAGAATGGAAAGGAATGGAATGGAATGGAATGGAAACAAACCCTGTGGAATGTAATGCAAAGGAATGGAAAGGAATGGAATGGAATAAACAAAAGTGGTATGGAAGGGAATGGAATAGAATGGAATGGAATGGAATGGAAAGCAATGGAGTCAACCAGAATGGAATCGAATGGAATCGATTGGAATGCAATGGAATGGAATGGAATGGAATGGAATGGAATGGAATGGGATGGAATGGCATCAAACCGAGTGGAGTGGAATGGAATTGAATGTAATGGAATGGAATAAACTGCAAATGAAAGGAATGGAATGGAAAGGAATGGAAACAACCAGAGTGGAATGGAATTGAATGGAATGGAATGGAATGGAATCAACCCGAGTTGAATTGAAAGGAATGGAATGGAATGGAATGGAATGGAATGGAATGGAATGGAATGGAATGGATTGGAAGGGAATGGAATGGAATCAACGCGAGTGGAATGGAATGGAATGAGTTGAATGGAATTAACCCGAGTGAAATGGAATAGAAAGGAATGGAATGGAATTTAATGGAATTGAATGGAATGGAATGGAATCAACCTGAGTGGAATGGAATGGAATTGAATGGAATGGAATGGAATGGAATGGAATGGAATGGAATGGAATGGAATGGAATGGAATGGAGTACACCAGAGTGGAATGGAATAGAATGGAATGGAATGGAGTGGAATCAACCACAGTGGAATGGAATGCAATGGAATGGAGTGGAATGGAATGGAATGGAATGGAATGGGATGGAATGGATTGGAATCAAACCGAGTGGAATGGAATGGAATGCAATGGAACGGAAAGGAATGCAATGGAATGAAATACACCCGAATGGAATGGAAAGGAATGGAATAGAATAGAATGGAATGGAGTTGATTGGAATCAATCTGAGTTTAATCGAAAGGAATGGAAAGGAATGGAATTGAAGAGAATTGAATGGAATGGAATGGAATGGAATGGAATGGAATGGAAAGGAATGGACTGGAATGGAATAAATTGCAGTGGAATGGTATGGAATGCAAAGGAATATAATGAAAATGAGTAGAATCCACCAAAATGGAAAGGAAAGGAATGGAATGGAGTGGAATGAATGGAATGGATTGGAAAGGAATCAACCCGAGTGGAATGGAATGGAATGGAATGGAATGGAATGGAATGGAATGGAATGGAATGGAATGGAATCACCCCATGTGGAATGGAAAGAATGGAATGGAATGGAAAGCAATGGCATGGAATGGAATGGAATGGAATGGAATGGAATGCAATGGATTGGAATAAACCTGCGTGGAATGTAGTGGATTCGAATGGAATGGAATCAACCCGATAGGAATGGAATAAAATGGAATGGAATGCAATGGAATTGATTGGAAAGGAATGGAGTCAACCCTACTGGAATGGAAGGTAATGGAATGGAAAGGAATGGAATGGAATGGAATGCAATGGAATCAACCCGACTGGACTGGAATGGAATGGAATGGAATGAAATGGTGTCAAACCGACTGGAATGGAATGGAATAGAATGGAATGGAATGGAATACACCAGAGTGGAATGGAATAGAATGGAATGGAATGGAGTGGAATCAACCACAGTGGAATGGAATGGAATGGAATGGATTGGAATCAAACCGAGTGTAAAGGAATGGAATGGAAAGGAATGGAATGGAATGATATCCACCCGAGTGAAATGGAATGGAATGGAATGGGATTGAATAGAATGGAATGGAGTGGATTGGAATCAATCTGATTGAAATGGAAAGGAATTGAAAGGAATGGAATTGAAGGGAATGGAATGGAATGGAATGGAATGGAATGGAATGGAATGGAATGGAATGGAATGGAATAAACCCAAGTAGAATGCAATCGAAGGGAATGCAATCGAATGTAATGGAATGGCATTGAATGGAATCAACACAAGTGGAATGGAATGGAATGGAATGGATTGGAGTGGAATGGAATCAACCCCAGTGGAATGTAATGTACAGGAATGGAATGGAATGGAGTAGAATGAACCCGAGTGGAATGGAATGGTATGGAATGAATCGGAATGGAATGCAATGGTATGGAATGGAATGGAATGGTATTGAAGGGAATGGAATGGAATGGAATAGAATCCAATCCAGTGTAAAGGAATGGAACGGAATGGAATGGAATGGAATGGAATGGAATGGAAAGGAATGGACTGGAATGGAATAAATTGCAGTGGAATGGTATGGAATGCAAAGTAATATAATGAAAATGAGTAGAATCCACCAAAATGGAAAGGAAAGGAATGGAATGGAGTGGAATGAATGGAATGGATTGGAAAGGAATCAACCCGAGTGGAATGGAAAGGAATGGAATGGAATGGAATGGAATGGAATGGAATGGAATGGAATGGAATCACCCCATGTGGAATGGAAAGAATGGAATGGAATGGAAAGCAATGGCATGGAATGGAATGGAATGGAATGGAATGGAATGGAATGGAATGGAATGGATTGGAATCAACCTGCGTGGAATGTAGTGGATTCGAATGGAATGGAATCAACCCGATAGGAATGGAATAAAATGGAATGGAATGCAATGGAATTGATTGGAAAGGAATGGAGTCAACCCTACTGGAATGGAAGGTAATGGAATGGAAAGGAATGGAATGGAATGGAATGCAATGGAATCAACCCGACTGGACTGGAATGGAATGGAATGGAATGAAATGGAGTCAAACCGACTGGAATGGAATGGAATGGAATGGAATGAAATGGAATCAACTGGAATGGAATGGAATGGAATGGAATGGAATGGAATGGAATGCAATGGAATGCCATGGAATGGAATGGAATGGAATGGAATGCCATGGAATGGAATGCCATGGAATGGAATGGAATGGAATGGAATGGAATGGAATGCCATGGAATGGAATGGAATGGAATGGAATGGAATGGAATGCCATGGAATGCAATGGAATGGAATGGAATGGAATGGAATGGAATGGAATGGAATGCCATGGACTGGAATGGAATGGAATTAACAAGAATGGAAAAGAATGGAATGGAACGGAATGGAATGGAATGGAATGGAATGGAATGGAGAGGAGGCAAACCGAGTGGAATGCAATGGATTGCAATGGAATGGAAAGGAATGGAATGGAATGGAATGGAATGCAACGGAATGGAGTGGAATGGAATGGAATGGAATGGAATGGAATCAATGCAAGTGTAATTGAATGGAATGGAATGGAATGGAGTGAAATTGATTGGAATTGATATGAATGGAATGGAATAAACTGGAATGGAAGGGAATGGAATGGAATGGAATGGAATCAACTAGAATGGAAAGGAATGGAATGGAATGCAATGGAATGGAATGGAATGGAATCAACCCTTGTGAAATGTAAAGCAAAGGAATGGAATGGAATGGAATTGTATCAACAAAAGTGGAATGGAATGGAATGGAATACAATGGAATGGAATGGAATGGAATGGAATAAACTGGAGTGGAATGGAATAGAATGGAATGCAATGGATTCTATTGGAATTTAATTAACCCGATTGGAATGGAGTGGAATGGAATGGAATGGAATGGAATGGAATGGAATGGAAAGAAGCCGATTGGAATGCATTGGACTGCAAATGAATGGAATTGAAAGTGATGGAATGGAATGGAATGGAATGCAAAGGAATGGAAAGGAATGGAATGGAATGGAATTTAATGGAGTCAATGCAAGTGTAATTGAATGGAATGGAATCAACAAAAGTGGAATGGAAGGGTATGGAATAGAATGGAATGGAATGGAATGGAAAGCAATGGAGTCAATACGTATGGAATCGAATAGAATGGAATGCAAAGGAATGGAATGGAATGGAATGCAATGGAATGGAATGGGATGGGATGGAATGGAAACAAACCGAGTGGAGTGGAATGGAATTGAATGGAATGGAATGGAATTAATTGGAATGGAAAGGAATGGAATAGAATGGAATGGAATGGAATTTACCAGAGTGGAATGGAATTGAATGGAATGGAATGGAATGGAATGGAATAAATTGGAATGGAAAGGAATGGAATGGAATGGAATGGAATCAACCAGAGTGGAATGGAATTGAATGGAATGGAATGGAATGGAATCAAACCGAGTGGAATGGAATTGAATGGAATGGAATGGAATGGAATGGAATGGAATGCAATGGAATGGAAAGTAATGGAATAGAATGGAATGGAAAGGAATGGATTGGAGTGGAATGGAATGGAATGGAATGGAATGGTATCAACGCAAGTGTAATTGAATGGAATGGAGAGGAATGGAATGGAATTGATTTGAATGCAGTGGAATCACCTGGAATCGAATGGAATGGAATGGAATTAACTAGAATGGAAAGGAATGGAAAGGATAGGAATGCAGTTGAATGGATTGGAATGGAATCAACCAGTGTGTAAAGTAATGGAAAGGAATCGAATGGAAAGGAATGGAATCAACAAAAGTGTAATGGAAGGGAATGGAATAGAATGGAATGGAATGGAATGGAATGGAATGGAATGGAAAGCAATGGAGTCAACCCAAATGGAATCGAATGGAATGGAATGCAATGGAATGGAATGGAATGCAATGGAATGGAATGGAATGGAATGGGATGGGATGGGATGGGATGGAATGGAATGGAATCAACCAGAGTGGAATGGAATTGAATGGAATGGAATGGAATGGAATCAACCCGAGTGGAATGGAATTCAATGGAATGGAATGGAATGGAATCAACCCGAGTGGAATGGAATTGAATGGAATGGAATGGAATGGAATTAACCTGAATGAAATGGAATGGAAAGGAACGGAATGGAATTTAATGGAATTGAATGTAATCAACCTGAGTGGACTGGAATGAAATGGAGTGGAATGGAAAGCAATGGATTTGAATGGAATCAGCAAGAGTTGAATGGAATTGAACGGAATGGAATGGAATGGAATCAACCCAAATGGAATGTAATGGAATGGAATTGAATGGAATTACCCCGAGTGAAATGGCATGGAAAGGTACAGAAAAGAATTTAATGGAATGAAATGGAATGGAATGGAATCAACATGAGTGGAATGGAATGGAATGAAATGGAATGCAATGCAATGGAATGGAACCAATAAGAGTGGAATGGATTGGAATGGAATGGAATGGAATGAAAGGGAATAGAATCAACCTGAGGGAAATGGAATGGAATGGAATGGAATGGAATGGAATGGAATGGAATGGAATGGAATACACCAGAGTGGAATGGAATAGAATGGAATGGAATGGAATGAAATCAACCCGAGTGAAATGGAATGGAATGGAATGGGATGGAATAGAATGGAATGGAGTGGATTGGAATCAATCTGAGTGGAATGGAAAGGAATGGAAAGGAATGGAATTGAAGGGAATGGAATAGAATGGAATGGAATGGAATGGAATGGAATGGAATGGAATAAACCCGAGTAGAATGCAATGGAAGGGAATGGAATCGAATGTAATGGAATGGCATTGAATGGAATCAACACGAGTAGAATGGAATGGAATGGAATGGATTAGAGTGGAATGGAATCAACCCCAGGTGAATGTAATGTAAAGGAATGGAATGGAATGGAATAGAAAGAACTCGAGTGGAATGGAATGGTATGGAATGAAACGGAATTGAATGGAATGGTATGGAATGGAAAGGAACGGTATTGAACGGAATGGAATGGAATGGAATAGAATCCAATCCAGTGTAAAGGAATGGAACGGAATGGAATGGAATGGAATGGAATGGAATGGAATGGAATGGAATGGAAAGGAATGGACTGGAATAGAAAAAATTGCAGTGGAATGGTATGGAATGCAAAGTAATATAATGAAAAGGAGTGGAATCCACCAAAATGGAAAGGAAAGGAATGGAATGGAATGGAATGAATGGAATGGATTAGAAAGGAATCAACCCGAGTGGAATGCAAAGGAATGGAATGCAATGGAATGGAATGGAATGGAATGGAATGGAATGGAATGGAATGGAATGGAATGGAATGGAATAACCCCATGTGGAATGGAAAGAATGGAATGGAATGGAAAGCAATGGCATGGAATGGAATGGAAAGGAATCGAATGGAATGGAATGGAATGGAATGGAATGGAATGGAATGGAATGGAATGGAATCAACCCGGGTGGAATGTAATGGAATGAAATGGAATGGAAAGGAATGGAATGGAATGGAATGGAATGGAATTGAATGGAATCAAATGGTTTTGAATCAACCTGCGTGGAATGTAGTGGATTCGAATGTAATGGAATCAACCCGATAGGAATGGAATGAAATGGAATGGAATGCAATGCAATTGAATGGAAAGGAATGGAGTCATCCCTACTGGAATGGAAGGGAATGGAATGGAAAGGAATGGAATGGAATGGAATGCAATGGAATCAACCCGACTGGACTGGAATGGAATGGAATGCAATGGAATGGAATGAAATGGAGTCAAACCGACTGGAATGGAATGGAATGGAATACAATGGAATGGAATGGAATGGAATGGAATGGAATGGAATGGAATCAACTCGAATGGAATGGAATGGAGTGGAATGGACTGGAACGAAATGGAATAGAATGGAATGGAATGCAATGGAATGGATTGAAAAGGAATGGAAGGGAATAAAATCAAGTGAAATTGGATGGAATGGATTGGAATGGAATGGAATGGAATGCAATGGAATGGAATGGAATGGAATGGAATGGAATGGAATCCACCCAAGTGGAATGGAATGGATTGGAATGGATTGGAATGGAATGGAATGGAATGGAATGGAATGGAATGGAATGGAATGGAATGGACTTCACACGAGTGCAACGGAATGGAATGGAATGGAACCAACCCGAGTGGAATGGAATGGAATGGAAATTAATGGAATGGAATGGAATGGAATCAACCCGAGGGAATGGAACGGAATGCAATGAAATGGTATGGAATGGTGTGGAATGGAATGGAATGGAATGCAATGGAATGGAATCAAAGCAAGTGGAATGGAATGGAATGAAATGGAATGGAATGGAATCAACACGAGTGGAATGGAAGGGAATGCAATGGGATGGGATGGAATGGAATGGAATGGAATGGAATGAAATGGAATCAACCCGAGAAGAATGGAAAGGAAAGGAATGGAATGGAATGGAATGGAATGGAATCCACCCGATTAGAAAGGAAACGAATGGCAAGGAATGCAATGGAATTTAATGGAATGGAATGGAATGGAAAGGAATGCAAGGGCATGGAATGGAATGGAGTCAACTGGAATGGAATGGAATGGAATGGAATGGAATGGAATGGAATGGAATGGAATACCATGGAATGGAATAGAATGGAATGTAATAGAAAGGAATGGAATGGAATAGAATGGAATGGAATGAAATGGAATGGAATTGAGTGGAATGGAAGGGAATGTAGTGGAACGGAGATGAGTGGAATTGAATGAAGTGTATTTGAATGGAATTGAATGGAACAGACTTGAATTGAATGGAAAGGAATGGACTCGAATGGAATGGAAAGGACTGGAATGGAATGGAATGGAATTTAATGGAATGGACTCTTTGGAATAGAGTCCAATGGAATGGAATGGAATCGAATTGAATGGAATGGAATGAAATAGAGTCGCATGGAATGGAATGCAATGGAATGGACTTAAATGGAATGGAATGGAATTGAGTCAAAAGGAATTGACTGAAATGGACTCTAGTTGAACAGAATGGCATGGACACAAAGGGAATGATGTGGAATTGAACAGACTCGAATGAAATGGAGTGGAACAGACACGAATGGAATGGAATTGAATGGAGTCAATTTGAATGGAATGTAATGGATTGAAACGGACTCGAAAGGAATGGAAAGGACTCAAATGGAACGGAATGGAATAGAATGGAATTGAAGCGAATGGAATGGCATTGACTGGAATGGAATGGAATGTACTCGAAAGGCATGGAATGGAATGGAATGGACTCCAATGGAAACGAATGGAAAGGAATGGACATGAAAAGAATGGAATGGATTCGAATGGAATGGAATGGACTGTACTGGAATGGAATGGAATGGAATGCACTGGATTGGAATGGAATGGAATGAAATGAAATGGAACGGAATGGAATCGAATGAGCTTGAATGGAATAGAAATTAATGGAATGGATTGGACTCGAATGGAATGGAATGGAATGGAATGGAATGGAATGGAATCAAATGGAATGGAATGGAGTGGAATGGAGCCACGTGGAATCGAATGGAATGGAATGGATTCGAACAGAATGGAAAGGAAAAGACTCGAATGTAATGGGTTGGAATGGAATGGACTCTGATGGAATTGAATGGAATGGAATGGACTCAAATGGAATAGAATGGAATAGAACTGACTCAATTCGAATAGAACGGAATGGAATGGACTGGAATGGAATGGAATGGAACGGACTTGTATGGAATGAAATGGAAAGGAATGGAGACTAACAGAACACAATTAAATGGAATGGAATGTACTAGAATGGAATGGAATGCAATGGACACGAATGGAATAGTATGAAATGGAATCAAATGGAATGGAATGGATTGGAATGGAATTGACTCGAATGGAATGGACAGGAATGCAGAGGAATGGACTCAAATGGAATGGAATGGAATGGAGTGGAGTGGATCTGAATGGAATGGAATGGAATGGATTGGAATCAAATGGAATGGAAGGGATTCGAAAGGAATGTAATGGAATGGCCGCGAATGAAATGGGTTGGAATGGAATGGATTCTAATGGAATTGAATGGTATGCAACGGACTCAAATGGAATAGAATGAAATGGAATCGAATCAATTGGAATAGAATGGAATGGAATGAACCGCAAAGGAATGGAATGTAATGGAATCGACTGGAATGGAATGCACTAGTCTGGAATGTAATGGAATTTAATGGACACGAACAGAATAGGACGGAATGGAATGGAATGTACTAGAATGTAACTGAATGTAATGGATTCTAATGGAATGGAATGGAATGGACTCGAATGGAATGGGTTGGAATGGAAAAGACTCAAAACTAATGGAATGAAAAGGAATGGAATCATATGGAATACAATGGACCACAGTGGAATGGAATAGAATGGATTGGAATGGAATGGAATGTCATGGAATGGAATGGAATGGAACAGAATGCCATGGAATGGAATAGAATGGAATGCAATGGAATGGAATGGAATGGAATGGAATGTTTTGGAATGGAGACGAGTGGAATGGATTGGAGTGGATTTGAATAGAAAAGAATGGAATGGAATGCACTTGAAGGGAATGGAAAGGAATGAACTAGATTGAAATGGAATGGACTCGAATTGAATGGAATGGAATTTAATGGAATGCACTCTAATGGAATGGAATCTAATGGAATGGAATGGAATGGAAAGGAATAGAATGGAATGGAATAGAATGGAATAGACTCGCATGTAATGGAATGCAATGGAATGGAATGGACTCAAATGGAATGGAACAGAACTGACTCGAATGGAACTGACTGGAATGGACTCGAATGGAACAGAATGGGATGGACTTGAAGGGAATGGTGTGGAATGGAATGGACTCGAATGGAATGGAGTGGAATGGACTCGAATGGATTATAATTGAATGGATACGACTTGAATGGAAGGTAATGGAATGAAATCGCCTCGAACGGAATCTAATAGAATGGAATGGAATGGTCTCAGACAGACTGGAATGGAATGCAGTGGAATGGACTCAAATTGAATGGAATGGAAAGGACCTGAATGGAATGGAATGGAATGGAATGTACTCGGATGGAATTGAATGGAATGGACAAGAATGGAATAGAATGGGATGGACTCAAATGGAATTGTGTGGAATGCAATGGACTCCAACGGATTGGAGTGGAATGGAATCGAAAGAATGGAGTAGAATTGACTCGATGTGAGTGGGAAGAAATGGAATGAAATTGACTCGAATGGGATGGAATAGTCTCGGACGGAATGGAATGGAATGGAAAGGAATGGAATGGAATGCAATGGAATGGAATAGACTGTAATGGACTCAAATGGAAAGGAATGGAATGGAATGGACTCGAAAGAAGTACAACGAAATTTAATGGAATGGACTCTAATGGAATGGAACGGCGTGGACAAAAATGGACTAAAATGCACTGGACTCGAATGGAATGGAGTGCAATGGAATGGACTCGAACAAAATAGAATGGAATGGATTCGAATGGAATGAAATGGAATTGAATGGACTAGAAAGGATTGGAATGCAATGCAATGGAAAGGACTCGAATGGAATGGAATGCAATTGACTCCAATGGAATTGAATGGATTGGACCTGAATGGAATTGAATGGAATTGAATGGAATGGAATGGAATAGAATGGGAAGGAATGGAATGCAATGAAATGGAATGGAAAGGAATGGAATGGGTATGAAAGGAATAAAATGGAACGGAATCAAATGGAATGGATTGGAATTGAATGGACTCGAATGGAAATTAATGGAATGTAATCAAACGGTATGGAATGCAATGGAATGGACTCGAATAAAATGGAATCGAATGGACTCGAATGTAATGGAATGGAAAGGATTGAAATGTTATAGAATGGAATGGACTTGAATGGAATGGAGTGGAACGGAATGGACTCGAATGGAATGGAGTACATTGCAAACGATTTGATTGCAATGGAAATGAATGAACTCGAAAAGAAAGGAATGTAACAGAATGGAATGTACTCGAATTGAATGGAAGGTAATATAATGAAATTTACTCGAATGGAATTGAATGGAGTGGAATGGAATCGAACAGAATGCAATGGAACGGAATGGAAAGGAATTGACTAGAATGGAATTTAATGAAAAGGAAAGGAATGGACTTCAATGGACTATAACGGAATGGAATGGAAAGCAATCAAAGAAAATGGAATAGAATGTACTCGAATGGAATGGAATGGAATGGAATGGACTCGAAGGAAAGGGAATGAAATTTAACAGAATGGACTTTAATGAAATGGAATCGATGGGAATGGAATGGAATTGACTCGAAAGTAATGGAATGCAATGGAATGGACTCAAATGGAATGGAAAGGGATTGACTCAAACGGAATTGAGTGAAATGGACTTGAATGGAATGGAATGGAATTGACTCGAATGGAATGGTGTGGAATAGAAGGGACTGGCATGGAATGGAGAAGAATGGAGTGCACTTGGAACAAATAATATGGAATGGAAATGAATGGACTCGAATAGAATGGAATAGAATGGAATGCAATGGAATATACTCAAAAGGAACGTAAGGTAATGGAATGAAATTTACTCAAATGAAATGGAATGTAAAGGAATGGACTCTAATGGAATGCAATGGAATAGAATGGAATGGAGTCCACTCGAGTGGAATGCAACTGAATTGAATGGGCTCGAAAGGAATGGAAAGGAATGGAATGGAATGGAATGGAATGGAATGGAATGGAATGGAATCGAAAGGAATGGAAAGGATTCTAATGGAATGGAATGGAAATGACTCGAGTGGAATTTAAGGGAATGGATTGGACTCGAATGGAATGGAATGAGATGGACAGGACAGGAAAGTAATGGAATGGAATGGACTCTAATGGAATGGAATGGAAAGGAATGGAATGGACTCGAATTGAATGGATTGGAAAGGAATGGAATGCACTCAAACGGAATGGAATGGAATTGAATGGAATTGAAAGGAATGGAATGGACAGGAATGCAATGGAATGGAATGGAATGGAATGGAATGGAATGGACTCGAATGGAATGGAAAGGAATGGGCTCGAATGGAAAGTAAAGAACTCGAATGGAATGGTATGGAATCGACGCGAGTGGAATGTAATTGAATGGAATGGAATTGACTGTAATACAAAGGAATGCAAAGAACACGAATGAAATAGAATGCAATGGAATGGATTTGAATGGAGTGGAAAGGAATGGACTCGAATGGAATGGAATGGAATGGAATGGATTGGAATGAAATGGACTGGAATGGAATGGAATGGAATGAATGGAATGGAAATGACTCGAAAAAACGGAATGAAATGGACACAAACGGAATGGAATGGACTTGAATGAAATTGAATGGAATGGTCTCATAAGTAATGGAGTGCAATAGGCTCGAGTGGAATGGAATGGAATGCAATGGACTCGAATGGAATGAAAAGGAATAGAAATGACTCGAATTGAATGGAATGGAATGGAATCCAATGCAATAGAATTGATTGGAATTCACATGAACGGAATAGAATACAATGGAGTCAAATGTAAAGGAATGGACATGAATGGAATGGAACGGACTCAAATGGAATATAGTGGAATGGAATCGAATGGAATGGAATGCAATTGAATGGACTCGAATGGAAAGGAATAGATTGGATTCGTGTGGAATGGAATGGAACGGAATGGAAAGGAATGTATGCGAATGGAATGGAACGGAATGGAAAGGAATGTATGCGAATGGAATGGAACGGAATGGAATGCATTGCATCCGAAAAGAATGGAATGGAATGCAATGGAATGGAATCGAATGGAAAAGAATGGAAAGGACTGGAACGGAATGGAATGGAATGGATTGGAATGGAATGGAATGGTATGGAATATAATGGACTTCAGTGGAATAGAATGTAATGGAAAGGAATGGATTTAAAAGGAAGGGAATGGACTCTAACTGAATGGAATTGACAAGAATGGAATGCAATAGAATGGAATGGAATACAACGGAATTTAATGTAATGGACCGTAATGGAATGGAGTGGAATGGAATGGACTCGAATGGAATGGAATGGAATTGACTTGAACGGAATTGAAAGCAATGGACCCAAATGGAATGCAATGGAATGGAATGGAATGGACACGAATGGAATGCAATGGAGTGTATCGGACTCGAATGTAACAGAATGGAATAGAATGCAATGGAAAGGAATGGAATAGATTCAATCGGAATGGAATGGAATGAACTCGAATCGAATGGAATACAATGGATTGGACTCAAATGGAATGGAATAGAATTGAATGGATTCGAAAGGAATGGAATGCAATGGAATCTAATGAAATGGTTTGGAATGGAATGGAATTGAATGGAATGGACTGAAATGGAATAGAAAGGAATCGAATGGAGTGGAATGGATTAGAATGGAATGGACTCGAACGGAATGGAATGGATTCGAATGGAATGGAATGGACTCAAATGGAATAGAGCGGAATGTAATGGAATGTACTAGAATGGAATGCAATGGAATGAACTCGAACGGAATACAATGGAATAGAATTAAATGGAATGGAATGGACCTGAATGAAATGGAATGGATTCAAATGGAATGGAATGGACCCGAATGGAATGGAATGGAATGGAATGGAAACGACTCGAGTGGAATGAAATGGAATGGAAAAGACACGAATGGATTGGAATGGAATGGACTTGAATGGAATGGAATAAAATGGAATGGAATGGACTTGAATGGAAATGAATGGGATGGAATGGAATGGACTCGAAGGGAATGGAATGGAATTTATTCCAATGTAATTGAAAGGACTCGAATGAAATTTAAAGGAATTTAATGGAATGGAATCAAATGCAATCGAATGGACTCGAATGGAATGGAATGGAATGGACCAACCTTGAATGGAATGGAATGGAATGGAATGGAATGGAATGAAATGGAATGGAATAGAATGGACTCTAATGTAATGCAATAGGATGGAATTGAATGGAATGGAATGGACTCGAATGGAATGGAATGGAATCGACCCAAGTTTAATCGAATGGAATGGAATGGTACGGACTCAAATGGAAAGGAATGAAATGGACTGGAATCGAATTTAATGAAATGGAATGGAATGGACTCGAATACAAAGGAATGGAACAGAACAAAAAGGAATGGAACGGAATGGAATGCACTTGAATGATTTGGAAAGGAATGGACTCGAATGGAATGGAATGGACTATAACGGAATGGAATGGAATGAAATGGAATCGAAAAAACAGAATAGAATGGAATGGAATGGATTCGTGTAGAATGGAATGGAATGGACTCGAGTGGAATAAAATCCAATTGAATGGACTAGAAAGTAATGAAATGGAATGCTATGGAATGGAATGGAATGGATTCGAATGGAATACAATGGAATGGATTGGAATGGATTTGAATGGAATGGAATGGAACGGACTTGAAGGGAATGAAATGGAAGAGAATAGAATGGAATGGAATGGACTCGAAAGGAACGGAATGGAAAGGACTCGAATGGAATGGATTGGAATGGAAAAAATCGAGTGGAATGGAATGAAAGAGAATGGACTCGAATGGAATGGAATGGAATGGAATGGAATGGAATGGAATGGACACAAATGGAATGGAAAGGAACGGACCCAAATGGAATGGAATGCAATGGAATGGAATGGAATTCAATGCAATGGAATTGAATGGAATGGACTTGAATAAAACGGAATTGAATGGATCCGAAAGGAATGGAAAGCAATGGAATGGAAAGGAATGGAATGGAATGGAATGGAGTGGAATGGAATGGAGTGGAATGGAGTGGAATGGAATGGAATGGAATGGAATGGAATGGAACGGAATGCAATACACTGGAATGGAATGGAATGGAATGGAATGGAATGGACTTGAATGGAATACAGTGGAACTTGATGGAACGGAACATAATGGAATGGAATGGAATGGATTCAAAAGGAATAGAATGGAATGGACTCGAATGGAATGGAATACAAAGGAAAGGACTCGAATGGATTGGAATGGAATAGAATGCACTCGACAGGAACGGAATGCAATAGAATGGCCTTGAAAGGAATGGAATGGAATTCAATGGAATGGACTCAAATGGAATGGAAAAGATTGGACCCGAATGGAATGGAATGCAATTTAATTGACTTGAATTGAGTTGATTCGAATTTATTCGAATGAAATTGAATGGAATATAACGGATTCAAAAGTAATAGAATGGAATGGAATGGACTTGAATGTAATGGACTAGAAGGGAATGGAATGGACATGAAAGCAATGGAATGGAACGGAAAGGAGTTGAAAGGAATACAATAGAATGAAGTGGAATGGGCTCGAAAGGAATGGAATGGAATGGACTCGAATGGAATGGAATGCAATGGAATAGACTATAATGAAATGGAATGGAATTTACTCAAAGGGAATAGAAAGGAATGGAATCGAAAGGAATGGAAGGGAATGAAATGGAATCGAATGGGTTGAAATGGAATTGATTTGAGTGGAATGGAATGGAATGGAATCAAATGGAATAGAAAGGAACGGAATTGACACGAAAGGAATAGAGTGGTACTGAATCGAATGGAATGAAGTGGAATGTAATCGAATGGAATAGAATGGAATGGACTCGAATGGAATGCAGCGGAATGGAATGGACTTGAATGAAATGAAGTAGAAAGGACTAGAATGGAATAGAATGGAATTGAAAGGACTCGAATGGAATGGAATGTAACGGAATGGAATAGAGTATAATGGAATGGAATTGAATTGAAAGTACTCGAATGGAATGGAATGGAATGGCATGGAATGGACTCGTATGGAATGCAATGTAATGCAAAGAAAAGGACTCGAATGGAATGGAATGCAATGCAATGAAATGGAATGGACTCGAATTAAATGGAATGGAATTGAATGGAATGGACTCCAGTGAAATGCAATTGAATGGAATGCACTCGAAAGGAATCGAATGGATTTGAATGGAATGGAATGGACTTGAATGGAATGGACTCAAATAGAATGGAATGGAATGGACACAAATGGAAAGGAATGGACTCGAATGGAATGGAATCGAATCGAATCGACTAAAATGGAATAGAATGCATTGGAATGGACTTGAAAGGAATGGAATGGAATGGAATGGACCCGAATGGAATGGAATGGAGTGGAATGGATTCGAATGGAATGAAATGGAGTGGAACTGAATGGAATGGAAAGGAAATCAATGGAATAGAATGGAATGGAAAGTACTCAAATGGAATAGAATGGAAAGGGCTCGAATGGAATGGAATGGAATGGAATGGACTCAAATGAAATGAAATGGAATGCACTCGAATGGAATAGAATGGAATGGAGTTGAATTGAATGCAGTGGAATTTAATGGACTTGAATGGAATGGAGTAGAATGGTCTAGAATGGAATGGAATTGAAAGGATACGAATGGAATGGAATGTAATGGAAAGGAATGGACTACAATGGAAACGAATTGAATTGAAAGGACTCGAATGGAATGGAATGCAATGGCATGGAATGGACGCGAATGGAATGCAGTGTAAGGCAAAGAAATGGACTTGAATGGAATGGAATGAAATACAATGAAATGGAATGGACTCGAATGGAATGGACTCCAATGGAATGCAATTGAATTGAATTGACTAGAAGGAATCGAATGGATTGCAATGGAATGGAATGGACTGGAATGGAATGGACTCAAATGGAATTGAATGGAATGAAATCGAATGGAATGGAGTGGTGTCGAAAGGAATGGAATAGAATAGAATCGACTAAAATGAAATGGAATAGAATGCACTCAAAAGAATGAACTGCAATGGAGTCAAATGGAATAGAATGGAGTAGAATCGAAAGGAATGGAAGGGAATGGAATGGACTTGAATGGAATGTAATGGACTTCAATGGAATAGAATGGAATGGAATGGATTCGAACGGAAAGGAATGGAACGTACTCAAATGGAATGGTATGGAGTGGACTCACATTGATTGGATTGGGATCGAATGGAATGGAAAGAAACGTACCCAAATTGAATGGAATGGAAAGGCATGGAATGGAATGGAATGTAACGGAACGGAACAGAACGGAACAGAATGGAATGGAATGGAATGGACTGGAATGGATTGTAATGGAATGGAATGAAACGGAACGGAACAGAATGGAACGGAATGGAATGGAATGGAATGGAAAGGAATGGAATGGACTAGTTTGGAAAAGAATGGAATGGAATTGAATGGACTCGAAAGTAATGGAATGGAATCGGTTCGTGTGGAATGGAATGGACACGAATGTAAAGGAATGTAATAGAACTGACTCAAATGGAATGCAACGGAATTTAAAGGAAAAGACACTAATGGATAGAAATGGAATGGAGACGAATGAAATAGAATGGAAAGGAATCCAATGGAATGGAATGCAATACAATAGAATCAAATGGGAGGGACTCAAACACAATGTAATAGAATTGAATGTTGTCGAAAGGGAAGGAATGTAATGCAACGAAATGGACTCGAATGGAATGGAATGCACTGGACTCGAATGGAACGGAATGGAATGGACTCGAATGCAATGGCATGGAATGGAATGAAATGCAATGGAATGGAATGGATTTGAGTGGAATGGAATGTATAGGAATGGAGTCGAATTGAAAAGAAAGAAAAGGAATAGAATCGAATGGAATGGAATGGACCCGCATAGAATGGAATGGCATCGAATGGAATGGAATTGACTGTAGGGGAATGGAATAGAATGAAATGGAATGGAATTCCTTGAATGGAATAGAATTTAATGGAATGCATTGTACGCCAATGGAATGGAAAGTTATGGACTCGAAAGGAAAGCAATGGAATGGTATGGACTTCAATGGAATGGAATGGAAAGGAACTGAATGAAACGGAATGGAATGGAATGGACTCGAATGGAATGGAATGGAATGGAACGGAATGGAATAGAATGGAATGGAATGTACTCCAATGGAATGAAATGGAATGGATCGGACTCGAATGGAATGGAATGTTATGGAATGGACTCGAATGGAATGAAAAGGAATGAAAAGGAATGGACTTGAATGGAATGAAATGAAGTGGCATAGATTTGAAAGGAATGGAATTTAATGGACCTGAATATAATGTATTAGAATGAAATGTAATGGACTCGAATGGAATGGAATGGAATGGATGGGAATGGAGTGGAATTGAATGGAATGGAATGGAACGGAATTTAATGAAATGGAATCGAATTGAATGGGATGGAATGGACCCGAATCGAATGGAATGGAATGGAATGGAATGGAAGGGAAAGGAAGGGAATGGAACGGAATGGAGGTGAACGGAATGGAATGGAATTGAATGGACTTGAAAGGAATGGAATGGAATGGAATGCAATGGAATGGAATGAAATGAAATGTAATGGACTCTAATGGAATGGCCTAGAATGGGCACGAATGGAAGGGAAAGAACTGGAATAGAATGAAATGGTATGAAATCGACCCGATTCTAATGGAATGGAAAGGAATGGAATGGACTTGATTGGAAAGGAATGGAATGTTCGTGAATGGAATGGAATACAATGGAATGAAATCGACTCTAGTGGAATGAAATGGAATGGAAAGGAATCGAATGAACTTGAATGGAATGTAGTGGAATGGAATCGACTGGAATGCAATGGAATTGAATGGACTCGAATAAAAAAGAATGTAACTGTATGGAATGGACTCGAATGGAATGGAATGCAATGGAAGGAAATGGACTTGAATAGAATGGAATGGTATGGAATAGAGTGGAATGGAATGGAATGGACTCCAAAGGAATGGAAAGGATTGGAATGGAATGGAATGGAATGGAATAGACTCGAATAGAATGGCATGGAATGGACTCAAATGGAATAGAGTGGACTCGCATGAAATTGAATGGAATGGAAACGATTAAAGTGGAATACAATGAAATGAAATAGACTGGAGTCAAAATAACTGAATGGACCCAAATGTAATGGAATGGAATGGAATGGAATGAAACGGACTCGAATGGAAGGGAATGGAATGGACTGGAATCAAATGCAATGAAACATAATGGAATGGAGTTGAATGGAATGGAAAGGAATGGCCACAAATGGAATACAATGGAATGGAAAGGAATGGTATGGAATGGAATGGAATGATACGGACTGGAATGGAATGGATTGGAATAAAATATACATGAATGGAAAAAAGGTATGGAATGGAATGGACCCAAATGGAATGGAATGGACACGAATGAAATGAAATAGAATAGAATGGACTCAAATGGAATACAATGGAATTTAATAGAATGAACACTAATGTAAAGGAATGGAAGGCACTCTAATGGAATAGAATGGAATGGACTTGAACGGAATTGAATGGAATAGACTCGAATGGAATAGAATAGTATGGATTTGAATGGAATGGAATGCAATGGAATGGACTCAAGTAGAAAGGACAAGAATGTAATGGAATGGAATTGAATTGATCCGAAAGGAAAGGAATGGAATGCAATGGAACGGACTTGAATGGAATGGAATACACAGGACTCGAATGGAATGGAATGCAATGGAATGGACTTGAATGGAATGGAATGGAATGGAATGGAATGGATAGGAATGGAATGGAATAGAATTGAATGGACTCGAAAGGAATGGAATTGAATGCAATGGAATGGACTCGAATGGAATGTAAAGGAATGGACCCGAATATAATGGAATGCAAACGAATGAACTCGAATGGAATGGAATGCAATTGTCTCGAATGGAATTGGATGGAATGCAATGGACTTGAATTGAAGGCAATAGAATGGAATCGAATGGAATGGAATGAACTCGACTGCAATCGAATGGAATGGAATAGACTCGAATGGAATACAATGGAATGAAAGGGAATGGACTGAATTGGAATGGAATGGAATGGAGTCGATTAGAATAGAACAGAACGGAATCAAAAGGAATGGAATGCAATGAAATGGAATCGAGAGTGTTGGAATGGAATTATCATGAATGGAATGAAATGGAATGGACACATATGGAATACAATGGAATGGAATGGATGCTAATGGAATGGAATGGAATGGACACGACTGGAATGGAATGGACTCGAACCAAATGGAATGGAATGGAATGGACTCGAATGGAATGAAATGGAATTGAATGGAATGGACTGAAATGGAATGGAATAAAATGGACTTGAATGGAAGAAAATGGAATGGATATGAACAGAATGGAGTGGAATGGAATGGACTTCAATGGAATGGATTCGGATGGACTCCAATGGAATGGAATGGAATGGAATGGACTCGAATGGAATGGAATGTAACGGAATGAAATGGACTCGAATTGAATGGAAAGAAATGGACTCAAGTGAAAGGGAATGGAATGGAATGAAATGGACTCGAATTGAATGCAATTGAATTGAAGGGACTCAAAAGGAATGGAATGGATTTAATGGAATGGAATGGAATGGAAAGTAATGGACCCGAGTGGAATGGAATGGAAAGAACTCGAAAGGAATTGAATGGAATGGAACCCAATGAAATGTAATGGAATGGAATGGAAATGCATGGAATGGATTCGAACGGAATAAAATGGAATGGAATGGAATGGAATGGATTCAAAGGGAATGCAATGGAATG
Organism: Homo sapiens; assembly: GCF_000001405.40. NCBI lineage: Eukaryota > Metazoa > Chordata > Mammalia > Primates > Hominidae > Homo > Homo sapiens. The sequence goes on from NC_000020.11 coordinate 31,089,289, forward strand.
GAATGGAATTTAATTTAATGAACGGACTCTAATGGAATGGAATGTACTCAAAAGCAATAGAATGGAATGGATTTGAAACGAATGGAATATAATGGAAAGGGCTCGAATTTAATGGAATTGAATGGACTTGAATTCAATATAATGGAATTCAATCGAATGGAATGGAATGGACACGAATATAATGCAATGGAATGCAATAGAATGGAATAGAATGGACTCGAATGGAATGGAATGGACCAAAATGGAATGGAACGGAATGGACCCGAATTGAAAAGAATGGAATGGACTGCAATGGAATGCAATGGAATGGAATGGAATGGAGTTGAATGGAATAGAAAGGAATGGATTCGAAGGGAATGAATTGGAAAGGACTAGAATTGAATGGAATGGCCTCGAATAGAATGGAATGGAATTTACTAGAATGGACACTAATGGATTGGAATCTAATAGAATGGAACGGCATGGACTCTAATGGAATGGAATGGAATTGAATGGACTATAAAGGAATGCAATGGAATAGAATGGAATGGAGTTGAATGGAATAGAAAGGAAAGGAAAGGAATGGATTTGAAGGGAATGGAATGGAAAGGACTCGAATTGAATGGAATGGCCTCGAATAGAAAGGAATGGAATTTAATAGAATGGACACTAACGGATTGGAATCTAATACAATGGAATGGCAGGGACTCTAATGGAATGGAATGGAATTGAATGGACTATAAAGGTATGGAATGGAATGGAATCGAATTGAATGGAATGGAACGGACCGAAATGGAATAGAATGGACTCGAATGGAATGGAATGGAATGGAATGGAATGGAATGGAATGGAATGGAATCCAATGGAATGCAGTTGAATGGAATGGACTTGAAAGGAATGGAATGGAAAGGAATGGAATGGAATGGAATGGAACGGAATGGAATGGAATGGACTTGAATGCAATGGAATGAACTAGAATAGAATGGAATGGAATTGAATCAACTCAAGTGGAATGGAAGGGAATGGAGTGGACTCAAAGGAAATGGAATGCAATGGAAAGTACTCGAAAGGAATGGAATGTACTGGACCCGAATATAATGGAATGGAAAGGAATGGAACGGACTCGAATGGAATGGCATGGAATCGAATGGACTCGAACGGAATGGAAGGGAAGGTAACGGACTCGAATGGAATGGAATGGCATGGAATCTAATGGACTCGAACGGAATGGAATGGAAGGTAACGGACTCGAATGGAATGGAATGGAATGAAATGGAATGGACTTGAAGGGAATGGAATGGAATGGAATCGAATGGAATAGAATACTATGGATTCGAATGGAAAGGAAAGTAACGGAACGGAATGGAATGGAATGGAAAGGAATGGAATGGAACGGACTCGAATTGAATGGCATGGAATGGAATGCACTCGAATGTAATGGGATGGAATGGAATGAAATGGAATGGAAAGGAATGGAATCCAATGGAATGGAAAGCAATGGGACGAGTGGATTGGAATGGAATGGAATGGAATGGAAAGGAATGAAATGGACTGGAATAGAATGGAATTGTTTGGAATGGAATGTTCTTGAATTGAATAGAATGGAATGAAATGGAATGTACCCAAGTGAAATGGATTGGAATGGACACGAATGGAACGGAATGGAATGGATGGAACTCGAATGGAATGGAATGGACTCGAATGGAATGGAATAGAACGGAATGGAATGGAATGGAATGTACTCGAATGGAATGGAATGGCCTCGAATGTAATGTAATGAGGAAGAATGGACCAGAAAGGAATGTAATGCAATGGAATGGACTGAAATACAATGGAATGGAATGAAAAGGACATGAATGGAATAGAATGGAATGAATTGGAATGGATTGGATCAAATGGAATTGAATGGAATCTACTCGAATGGAGTGGAATGGACTCAAATGGAATGGAGTGGAATGGGACGGTGTCGAATACAATAGAATATAATTTACCGGATTGGACTCTAATGCAATGGACTCTAAAGGAAAAGAATGGAATGGACTCGAATGCAATAGAATGGAATGGAAAAGTGTCAAATGGAATGGAATGGAATTTACACGAATGGAATGGAATGGAGTGGAATGAAATGGACTGGAATGGAATGGAATGGAATGATTGGAATGGAATGGAATGGAATGGAATGGAATGGAATGGAATGGACTTGAATAGAAAAGCATGGAATGGAATGGATGGGACTCGAATGAAATGGAATGGAATGGACCAGAATCGAAAGGAATGGCCTCGAATGTAATGTAATGAGGAAGAATGGACCAGAAAGGAATGTAATGCAATGGAATGAACAGAAATACAATGGAATGGAATGAAAAGGACCTGAATGGAATAGAATGGAATGGAATGGAATGGATTGGAATCCAATGGAATTGAATGGAATGGACTCAAATGGAGTGGAATGGACTCAAATGCAATGGAGTGGAATGGGACGGTGTCAAATGAAATAGAATATAATTTACCGGATTGGACTCTAATGGAATGGACTCTAATGGAAAAGAATGGAATGGACTCGAATGCAATAGAATGGAATGGAAAGTTGTCAAATGGAATGGAATGGAATTTACTCGAATGGAATGGAATGGAGTGGAATGAAATGGACTGGAATGGAATGGAATGGAATGGAATGGAATGAATGGAATGGAATGGAATGGACTTGAATAGAAAAGCATGGAATGGAATGAATGGGATTCGAATGAAATGGAATGGAATGGACCAGAATCGAAAGGAATGGATTGGACTCGAATGGAATGGAGTAAAATGGACTCGAGTGGAATGGAATGCAATGCAATGGACTCGATTGGAATGGAATGGAATGGAATGGAATGGAATGGAACGAACTCGAATGCAAAGGAAGGGATTGGAGTTCACTTGAATGGAACAGAATGGAATGGAGTAGAATGTAATGGAATGAACAGGAATGGAATGGAATATAATGGAATGGACTCGAATGGAATAGAAAGGAAAATAATCTAGTGGAATGGCATGGAATGGAATGGACACAAATGGAATGGAATGGAATCGAATGGAATGGAATGGAATGGAATTCAATGGACTAGGATGTAATGGAATTGAAAGGAATTTAATGGAATGGACTTGAATGGAATGGAAAAGAATGGACTCGAATGGAATGTAATGGACCAGAATGGAACGGAATGGAATGGACACAAATTGAAAGGAATGGAATGGAATGAAATAGACTGGAATGGAACACAATGGAATGGAATGGAATGGAATGGAATGGAATGGAATGGAATGGAATGGAATGGAATGGATTTGAATGTAATAGAAAGGAATGGAATCAAAGGGAATGGAATGGATTGCACTCGAATGGAATGGATTGCAATGGATTCAAATGGAAAGGAACGGAATTCAATGGACTCAAAAGGAATGGAATGTAACGGAATGGAATGGACTCCAATGGAATGGAAGTTAATGGAATGAAATGGACTCGAATGGAATGGAATGGAATGGAATAGACTCGAATGCAATGGAATGCATTGGAATGGATTGGAAAGGAAAAGACTCGAATGGAATAAAGTTGAATGGAATGGACTCGAAATGAATGGAATGGAATGGAATTGAATGGAATGGAATGGAATGGAATGGACTCGAATGGAATGGAATGGAATTGACCCAAATGGAATGGATTGGAATGGAATGGAGTAGATTGGAATGGATTGGAATGTTATGCAATGGAGAGGAATGGAATGGAATGCAATGCAATGGAATGGAATCGAATGGAATAGAATAAAATGAAATGGATTTTAATCGAAGGGAAAGCAATGGAATGGTTACGAATGGAATGGAATGGAATGGAATGGCCATGAATGGAATGGAATGGAATGGAATGGAATGGAATGGATTGGAATGGACTGGACTGCAATGGAATGGAACGGAATACACTTGAATGAAATAGAATGGAACGCAATTGAATGGACTTGAAAGAATTGGATTGGATTGGACCAGAGTGGAATGGAATGGAATGGACTCGAATGGAATGCAATGGACTAGAATGTAATGGAATGGAATGGAATGGAATGGAATGGACACGAATTGAATACAGTGAAATTTATTCTAACGGAATCTAATGGAATGGAATGGATTGGAGTCGAATAGAACAGACACGAAGGGAATGGACTGCAATGGAATGGACTTGAATTGCATGGAATGGAATGGAATGGACTTGAAAAGAATGGGATGGAATACAATGGAATGGACTCGAATGGAATGCAATGCACTGGAATGGACTCGAATGGAATGGAACGGATTTGACTCAAATGGAATTGAATGGAGTGCACCTGAATGGAATGGAGTGGAATGGGATGGAATAAAATGGAATAGAGTGGGCTCAAATAGAATGGAATAGAACGGAATGGAATAGAATGCAGTGGAATAAAATGGGTTTGAATGGAATGGACTGCAATGGAATCGAATAGAACGGATTCAAATGGAATAACATAGAATGCAATGTACTCGAATGCAATGGAATGGAACGGACTCAAATAGAATGGAAAGGACTCAAACGGAATGGAATGAAATGGACTCGAATGGGATTGAATGGCATTTAATGAAGTCGAATGGAATGCAATATAACGGAATGGAATGAACTCGAATTGAATGCAATGTAATGGAATGAAATGTGCTCGAATGGAATGGAATGGAATAGAGTGGAATGGAACGGAAGAGAATGGATCGCAATGGAATGGAATGGAATGCAATGGAGAGGAATGCAATGGAATGCAAAGGAATGGAAAGGAATCGAGTGGAATAGAACAGAATGAAATGTATTGTAATCGAACGGAATGGAATGGAATGGTTTCGAATTGAAAGGAGTGGACTGGAATGGAATGAAATGGAATGGAATGGACTGGAATGGAATGGACTTGAATGGAATAGAATGGAATACAGTGGAATGGACCTGAATGAAATGGAATGGAATTGACCTGAATGGAATGGAATGGAATGGAGTCGAATGGAGTTTAATGGACTTGAATGGAAAGGAATGGAATTGCATTGAATGGACTCGAATAGAATAAAATAGAATGGCTCTGAATGCAATGGAACGTAATGGAATAGACTCCAATGGAATGCAACGATATGGGCTCGAATGGAGTAGAATGGAGTTGAATGGAAAGTAACGGAATGGAATGGAGTGGAATGGAAAGGAATGGAATGGTATGGAATTTAATGGACTCGAAACGAATGTAATGTAATGGAATAGAATAGACTAGAATGGAATAGAATGGAAGGGAATGGAATAAAATGGAATGGAATGGAATGGGGTCGACTAGAGTTAAATGAAATGGAATGGAATTGAATGCACTTGAAAGGAATGGAATGGAATCATCTCGAATGGAAAAGAAACGAATGGACTCTCATGGAATGGAATGCAATGGAATGGACTCGAATGGAATGCAGTGGAATGGACACGAATGGAATGGAATGGTATTTAATAGAATGGAATCAAAAGGAATGCAATGGAATGGAATTTAATGGAATGGACTCGAATGTAAAAAATGGAAAGCACTCGAATGGAATGGATTGGATTCGAATGGAATGAAACGGACTCGAAAGGAAAGGAATGGAGTGCAACCGAATGGAATGGAAAGCTATGGAATGGAATGGACTCAAAAGGAATGGGACATAAGGGGATAGAATTAACTCGAATGGAATGGAATGTAATGGAATGAAATAAGCTCGAAAGGAATGCAATGCAATGGACTCGAATGGAATTGAATGGAACGGAATGGAATGGAAAGTAATGGAATGCAATACAATGGAATGCACTCGAATGGAATGCAGTTGAATTGAAGGGACCAGAAAGGAATGGAAAAGAATGGAATGGAGTGGAATGGAATGGAATGCAATGCAATGGACTCTGAGGGAATGGAATGGAATGGACTCTAATGGAATGGAATGGATGGACTCGAATTGAATGGAATGGAATCGAGTGGAAAAAAAAGAATGGACCCAAATGGAATGGAACGGAATGGATTGGAATGGAATGGAACACAATGGAGAGAAATGGAATGGAATTGAATGCACTCGAATGGAATAGAACGGAATGTCTCCGAATGGAATGGAAGGGAATGGAAAGGACTCGAATGGAATGCAATGAAATGGACTCGAATGGAATGCAAAGCACTTGAGAATTGAATGGAATCAAATGGAATGGATTGGAGTGGGATGGAATGGAATGGAATGGAATGGAATGGAATGGAATGGAATGGATTGGAACGGACTCGTAAGTGATGGAATGGAATGCAAAGGAATGGAATGCAATGAAATGGAATGGAATGAGGCCGAATGGAATGGAATGGAATTGAATGGATTTGAAAGTAATGGAATGGAATGGAATGGTTTCGAATGGAATAGAATGGACTCGAATGGAGTGGAACAGATTGGACTCGAATGGAATGGAATGAACTCGGTTGGAATGGAATGGAATGGTATCGACTAGAGTGGAATGCCATGGAATGGAAAGAAATGGGCTCAAATGGAATGGAAAGGAATGGAATGGGCTCAAATGGAATGGAATTAGATGGAATCGAGATGAGTGGAATGGAACAGTATGGAATGGAATGGACTACAATGGAATGGAATGGAATTTACTCGAAAGGAATAGAAAGGAATGGACTCAAATGGAATGGAATGGAAAGGAATCGAACTGAATGGAGTGGAAAGGACTAATGGAATGGAACGGAATGGAATGGAATGGAATGGAATGGAATGGAATGGAATGGAATGGACTCAAATTGAACTGAACGTATTGGTATGGAGTGGACTCGAATTGAATGGAATGTAGTGGAAATAATTGAACTCGAATGGAATGGCATGGACTCGGAATCCAATCGATTTGAAAGAAATGGAATGAAATGGAATGGAATGGAATGGAATCAACCCAAGTGGAAAGGAATGGAAATGAATGGAAAGGACTCGAATGAAATGGAATGCTGTGGAATGGACTCGAATGCTGTGTAATGGAAAGGAATAGACTCGAATGGAATGGAATGGAATGGAACGGAATGAACACGAATGGAATTTAATGGAATGGAAAAGAATGGAATGGAGAGGAAAGGAATGGAATGGAATAAAATGGAATGAAAGAGAACGGAATGAAATGGAAAGCAATGAAATGAAATGGAGAGGAATGGAATAAAATGCAAAGCAATGGAATGGAATGGAATGGAATGGAATGGAATGGATGGGAATCGAAGGGAATGGAACGGAAAGGACTCGAATGCAATGGAATGGACTCGAATGGAATAGAATGGAATAGAATGGACTAAAATGGAATAGAATGGAATTTACTGGATTGCAATCTACAGTAATGTACTCTAATGGAATGGAATGGAATGGACTCTAATGAAATGGAATGGAATGCAATGGACAAGAATGGAATGGAATGGAATGGACACGAATGGAATGGATTGGAAGGGAATGGAATGGAATAGAATGGATTGGAATGGAAAGGACGTGAAAGGAAAGGAATCGAATGGAATCGAATGGCATGGAATGGACACGAAAGGAACATAATTGAATGGAGTGGACTTGAAAGTCCTACAATGGAATTCAATGTAACAGACTCCAATGGAATGGAAAGGAATGGACTCGAATGGAATATAATAGAAAAGGCACGAATGGAATGGAATGCAATGGAATGGTCTCAAATGGAATGGTATGGAATGGACTCAAATGAAATGGAATGGAATTGAATTGACTTGAAAGGTATGGAATGGAATGCATTGGAATGGACGCGAATGGAATGGACTCAAAAGGAATGGAAAGCAATGGAGTGGACTCGAATGGAATTTAATGGGACACGAATGGAATTGAATGGAATGGACACAAATGGAATGGAATGGAATGGACTCGAATTGAATTGAAAGGAATGGATTGCACTCAATTGGAATGGAATTTAATGGATTCGAAAGGAATGGAATTGAATGGACTGGAATGGAATGGATTTTAATGGAATGGACTCAAATGCAATGGAATGGAATGGATTCGAATGGAATGTATTGGACTCAAACGGAATGGAGTGGAATGGTCTCGAATGAAATGCAATGGAAATGAATGGAATCGAATGGAATGGAATGGAACAGAATGGAACGAACTCGAATGGAATGGAATGTAACGGAATGAAATGGACTCGAATGGAACGGAATGGACACAAATTGATTGGAATGGAATGGAATGGAACGGAATGGAATGGAATGGAATGGATTGGAATGCACCCGAATGGAATGCAACAGAATTGAATGGACCCGAAAGGAATAGAATGGAATGGAATGGAAAGGAATCGAATGGAATTTAATGGAATGGACTCGAATAGAATGGAATGAAATTGAATGGTCTTGAAATGAATTGAATGGAATGCAATGGAATGGACTAGAATGGAATGGAATGTAATGGAACAGACACGAACTGAACAGATTAAAATTGATTGCGCTCAGTTGGATTGGAATGGAATTGCATGGATTCTAATTGGAATGGAATAGAATGGACACCAATGGAATGGAATGAAATGGACTGGAGTACAATGGAAAGGAAAGGAATTGAATTGAATGGAATGGACTTGAATGCAATGGAATTTAATGGATCCAAATGAAATGGAATGGAATGAAATGGAATGGAATGGAAAGGAATGGAATGGAATGGACTCAAAAGTAATGGAATGGAATGGAATCCAAAGGAGTGGAATGGACTCGAATGTAAAGTAATGGAACTTAATGTAATGGACTCTTCTGGAGTGGACTCTTATGGAGTGAACTAGAAAGGAATTGAATGTAATGGATTCAAATTGAATAGAATGAAATGGAATGGAATCGAATGGAATAGAATGGAATTCACTCAAATGGAAAAGATTGGAAAGGACACAAACGGAATAGAATGGACTGGAATTGAATGGAATGGAATGGAATCAAATGGAATGCAGTGGAAAGAAATGGACTCCAATACAATGGAGTGAAATGGACTCTAGTGTAATGGAATGGAATTGAACGGACTCGAATGGATTGGAATGTATTGGAATGGAGTGGACACGAATGCAATGGAATGCAATGGAATCAAATGGTATGAAATGGAAAGGAATGCACTCGAATGGAATGGAATGGAATGGAATGGAAAGAATGGACTTGAATGGAATGTAATGGAATGGAGTTGAATGGAATGGAATGGACTCAAATGGATTCAAACGGAATGGAATGGAATGGAATGGAATGGAATGGAATGGAATGGAATGGAATGGAATGGATTGGACTCGAATGGAAAGGAGGGGAATGGTCTCGAATGGAATGGAATGGAAATGAATGGACTCAAATGGAATGGAAAGTAACGGAATGGAATGAACTCGAATGGAATGGAATGTAACGGAACGAAATGGACTCGAAAGTAATGGAATGGAAAGGAATGGATTCAAATTGAATGGAATGGAATGGAATGGAATGGATTGGAATGGACACGAATGGAATACAATAGAATTGAATGGACACAAAGAATGGAATGGAATGGAAGGGAATCGAAGGGAATCGAATGGAATTGAATGGAATGGACTCGAATACAATGGAATGGAATTGAATGGTCTCGAAATGAATGGAAAGGTATGCAATGGAATGGACCCGAATTGAATGGAATGGGATGGAACGGACTCTAATTGAACTGCAGGGAATTGATTGGTCTCAAATGGAATGGAATGGATTCCAATTGAATGGAATGGAGTGGAAGGGACTCGAATGGAATGGAATGAACTTGACTGCAATAGAATGGAAAGGACTCTAATGCAATGGAATGGACTTGAATGGAATGGAATGGACTTGAATGGAATGGAATGGAGCCGAATGGAATGGAATGGAATGGAATGGAATGGAATGGAATGGAATGGAATGGAATGGAAAGGAATGGAATGGAAAGGAAGGTAATGGAATGGAATGGATTGGAATGCAATGCACTAGAATGGAATAGAATAGAATGGAATGGAAAAGACAAAAAAGTAATGGAATGGATTTCAAATAAATGGAATGGACTCAAATGTAACGGAATGGAATTTAACGAAATGGACACTTGTGGAGTGGGATGGAATGGACTCGAATGGAATGGGTTTCAATGGAATGGACTAGAAAAGAATGGAATGGAATGGTTTCAAATTGAATAGAACGGAATCGAATGGACTAGAATGGAATGCAATGGAATGGAATGGACTCGAAAGGAAAAGAATGTAAAGGACTCAAATGGAATAGATTAGACTAGAATTGAGTAGAATGGAATGGAATGGAATGGAATTGACACCAATGGAATGGAGTAAAATGGACTCGAATGGAATGGAATGGAATTGAAGGGACTCGAATGGATTGGAATGTGTTGGAATGGAGTGGACACGAATGGAATGGAATATAAAGGAATCAAATGGAATGGAATGGATTGGAATGGAAAGGAATGCACTCGAATGGAATGGAATGGAATGGAATGGAATATAATGGAATGGAAAGAATGCACTTTAATGGAATGGAATGGAATGGACTCGAATGGAACGAATGGAATGGCCTCGAATGGACTCGAACGTAATGGAACGGAATGGAATGGACTGGAATGGAATGGTATGGAACGGAATGAACTCGAATGGAATAGAATGGAAGGGACTCAAATGGAATGGTGAGGAAAGGAGTGGACTCGAATGGAATAGAGTGGAATGGAATCAAATGGAATGGAATAGAATTGAATGGAGATGAATGGAATGGAATTGAATGGAATAGAATGCTCTCCAATGGAATGGAAAGGAACGGAATGAAATTTACTCAAATGAAGTGGAATGGAATGGAATGGAATCGAAAGAATGGAATGGAATGGAATGGAATGGAATGGATTCTAATGGAATGCAACTGAACTGAATGGACGCGAAAGGAATGGAAATGAATGGAATGGAATTGAATAGACTAGAATGGATTGGAATGGAATGGAATGGAATCGACTCGAGTGGAATGGAAAACAATGGATATTAATGAAATGCAATGGAAAGGAATGGTCTCGAATGGAATGGAATGGAATGGAATGGACCTGAATGGAGTGGAATGGAATATAATGGAATGGAATGGATATTAATGGAGTGGAAACGAATTGATTCGAATGAAGTGGAATATAACGGAATGGAATCGAATGGAATTGAATGGAATGGAATAGACTAGAATGGAATGGAATGGAATGCACTCGAATGGAATAGAATGGACTCAAATGGAATGGATTGGAATGGACCCAAATGGAATAGAATGGACTGGAATGTAATGGAATGGAAGACACCAAATGGAATGGGATGGGATGGAATGGAATGGAATGGAATGGAAAGGAGAGGAATGGAATGGAACCGACTCGAATGGAATGGAATGGAATGGACTCGAATGGAATGGAAAGGAATGGAATGGACTCGAATTAAATGGAAAGGAATGGAATGGATTTGAGTGGAATAGAATGGAATGGACTCGAATGGAATAGAATGCACTTGAATGCAATGGAATGGAATGGAATGGACCCGAATGAAATGGAAAGGAATGGAATGGATTTGAATGGAATAGAACGAACTTGAATGGAATAGAAAGGAATGGAATGGAAAGGATTTGAAAGGAACAGAATGGAATGAACTTCAAAGGAATGGAATGGACTCGCATGCAATGGAATGGAATCTAATGGAATGGACACTTATGGAGCGGAATGGAATGGACTCGAATGGAATGGGTTTGAGTGGAATGGACTAGAAAGTAATGGAATGGAATGGATTCAAATGGAATAGAATGGAATGGAATGGACTTGAATGGAATGGAATGGAATGGATACGAATAGAATTGAATGGACTCCAGTAGAATGGAATTGAATGTAATGGACTCGAATAAAATATAATGGAATGGAATGGAATGGACTCGAATGGAATAGAATGGAAAGGATTCGAATGGAATAGACTGGACTCGAATTGAATAGAATGGAATGCACTCAAATGGAATGGAGTGGAATGGAATCGAGTCGAATGGAATGGAGAGAAACAGACTCGAATGGAATGGAAAGGAATTGAATGGACTCGAATGGACTGGAATGTGTTGGAGTGGAATGGACACAAATGTAATGGAATGTAATGGAATCAAATGGAACGGAATGGAGTGGAATGGAAAAGAATACACTCGAATGCAATGGAATAGAATGGACTCGAATGGAATGGAATGGAATGGACTCGAACGAAAAGCAATTTATTTGAATGGACTCAAAAGGAATGGAACCGAATGAAATGGAAAGGAATGGAATGGAATGGAATTAAATGGAACGGACTCAAATGGAATGGAGTGAACTTGATTGGAATAGAATGGAATGGACTGGACTGGAATGGAATGGAATGGAATGCAATGGAATGGACTCAAATAGTATTGGATGGAATTGAATGCACTCGAATGGAATGGAATGGAATGGACTCGTGTGGAAATGGTTTTAATGGATTGCACTAGAAAGGAATGGAATGGAAACGAATGGAAAGAAATGGAATGGACGAGAACGGAATGGAATGGACTCGAAAAGAATGGAATGGAATGGAATGGAAGGGACTAGAAAGGAATAGAATGGAATGCAATGGAATGGACTGGTATGGAATAGAATGGAATGGACTCGAATGTAATGGAATGGAATAGACTCGAAAGGAATGAGATGGAATTGAATGGACTCAAACGGAATGGAATGGAAAAGACTCGAATGTAACAGGTTGGAATGGAATGGACTCGAATGGAAAGGAATGCAATGGACTCGAATGGAATGGAATGGAATGGACTCGGATGGACTCGAACGAACTGGAATGGGATGGAAAGGAAGCGAATGGAATGGAATGGAATGGAAAGAATTCGAATGGAATACAATGGAGTGGATGGAGAGGGAATGAGTGGTATCAAATGAAATGGAGTGGAATGGAAGAAAATGGAATGGAATAGAATTGAATGGAGATGAATGGAGTGGAATATAACGGAAAAGAATGGACTGGAATGGAATGGAATGAAATGGAATGAAATTTACCCAAACGGAGTGGAATGGAATGGAACGGACTCGAAAGGAATGGAATGGAGTGGAATGGAATGGAATGCATTCTAATGAAATGCAACTGAATTGAATGGACTCTAAAGAAATGGAAAGGAATGGAATGGAATGCAATTGACTCGAATGAATTGGAATGGAATGGAATGAAATGGAATGGAATGGAATGGATTGAATGGAATGGAATTGAGAGGAGTGGAATTGAATGGGTTTGAATGGATTGGACTCAAATGGAATGGAATAGAAAAGAATGGATTCAAATGGAATAGCATGGAATTGAATGGACTCGAATGCAATGGAATGGACTGGACTCGAATGGAAAGGAATGGACTCGAATGGCATGGAGTGGGATGTACTCGAATGGAATGGAAAGGATTTGAATTGAATAGAATGAAATGGAACATAACGGAATGGAATGAACTACAATGGTATGGAATGTAAAGGAAAGAAAAGAACTAGAAAGGAATGGAATGGAAAGGATTGGAATGGAATGGAATGGAGCAGAATGGAACGGATTGGAATGGAATGGAAAGGAATGGACTCAAATGGGGTGGCATGGAATGGAATGAAATCTAAAGGAATGGAATGTTATGGACACGAATGGAATGGAATGGACTCGAATGAAATGGATTGGAATGGAATGGAATGTACTCGCATGGAATAGAATGGAATGGAATGGACTCGAAAGGAATGGAATGGACACGAATTGAAAGGAATTTAACGGAATGGAATGGAATGGAATGGAATGGAATGGAATGGAATGGAATGGAAAGCAATAGAATGGAAAAGAGTAGCAAGGAAAGGAATGGACTTTAATGGAATAGAATGGAATGGAATGGAACGGACTCGAATGAAATGGAAAGGAATTGACGTGAATGGAATGGAATTGAGTCAAAAGGAATTTAATGTAATTGAATGGACTCGAATGGAATGGAATCAAGTGGAATGGAATGGAATGGACTTGAATGAATTGAATCGAATGGAATGGACTCGAATTAAATAGAATGGAATGGAATATACTCGAATGGAATGGACACGAATGGAATGGAATGGAGTGGAATGCACTGGAATGGAATGGAGTGCAATGGAATGGAATTTACTTCAATTTAATAGAAGGGAATGGAATGGAATTGACTCGAATAAAATGGAATGGAATGGACTCGAATGGAATGGAATGGACAAGAATGGAAAGGAATGCAATGGACTCAAATGGAATGGAATGGAATGGAATGGATGCGACTGGAATGGAATGAAATGGAATGGACTCGAATAGAATAGAGTAGACTGGATTTGAATGAAATAGAATGGAATTGAATGGACTCACGTCAAACAGAGTGTTATGCTATGGAACGGACTCGAATCTAATGTAATGTAATGAAATGAAAGGGATTCGAGTGGAATGGAATGGACTCGAATGGAATACAATGGAATGGACTGTATACGAATGGACTCAAATCGTATGGAATGGAAATAAATGGACTTTAAAAGAATGGAATGGAATGGAATAGAATGGAATGGAATGGACTCTAATGGAATGGAATGGAATGGAATGGACTCCAAAGGAAAACAACGGACTAGAATGGAATGGAATGGAATGGAATGGAAATTACTCGAGTGGAATGGCATGGAATTGAATGGACTCAAATGGAATGGAGTGGACTCGAATGGAATGGAAAGGATTGGACCCAATTGGAATGGAATGGAATGGAATAGAATCGTATGGACTCGAATGGAGTGGAATGTTATGGAATGGAATGGGCTTGAATGGAATAGAATGGAATGGAAAGGAACGGATTTCAAATGAATAGTATGGAATGGAAATGAATGGAATTGAATGAACATGAAAGGAACGGAATGGAATGGAATGGACTCGAATTTAATAAAATGCAACTTAAAGGTAAGGATCCTACTGGAATGGAATGGAATGCACTCAAATGGAATAGAATGGAATAGACTCGAATGGAATGGAAGGGAATGGACTCAAAATGAAAGGAATGGACACTAATGGAACAGAATGGAATGGAATGGAATTGACTCGAATGGAAATGAATGGAATGGACACGAGTGGAATGCAATGGAATGGACTCGAATGGAATGGAATGGAATGGACACAAATGGAATGGAATGGACTCGAGTGGAATGGAACGTAATGGAGTGAAATGGACTTGAATGGAATGGAATGGAATGGAATGGAATGGAATGGAATGGAATGGAATGGAATGTAGTGGACTCAAATGGAATGGAATGCAATGGAATGGACTCGAAAGGAATGGAATGGTATTGAGTGGACTCGAAAGCAATGGAATGGAATTGACTTGAAATGAATGGAATGCACTCGAAAGAAATGGAATGAAATGGACTCGATTGCAACGGAATGGACTCGAATTCAATGGACTTTAATGATATGGAGTCGAATGAAATGGACTAAATAGGAATGGAATTGAATGGAATGGAATCGAATGGAATGAAAACGAATGTAATGTGTTCGGATGGAATGGAATCGAATGGAATGGTATGCAATGGAATGCAATCAAATGGAATGGAATTGAATAGAAAGGAATCAAATGGATTGGAATTGAATGCAAAGGAATCAAACGAAAAACACTGGAATGGAAATGAATCGAATGGAATGGAAAGGACTAGAACGGTTTCAAATGTAAAAGAGTCGAATGGAATGGAATCGAATGGAATGAAATCAAAAGGAATGGACTTGAATGGAAAGGAATGAAATGGCATGGAAGGGAATTGAGTCGAATGGAATGGAATGGAATGGAATGGAATGGAATGGAAGGGAATGATATTGAATCGAGTGGAATGGAATGGAATCACATGGAATAGAATGAAAAGCAATGGAAAGGAATGGAATCGACTTGAATGGAATGAAATCAAATGGAATGGAATCAAATGGAATGCGATAGAATAGAATGTAATGGAATGGAATAGAATTGAATGGAATGGAATGAAATGCAATGGAATCGAACGGAATGGATTGTACTCCAATGTAAAGGACTGGAATGGAATGGACTTGAATGGAATGGACTCGAATGGAAAGGATTCGAACGGAATGGGCCCGAATGCAGTGGATTCAAATGGAATGGTCTTGAAAGGAATGCTATAGAGTGGAATAGAATCAAATGCAATGGAATATAAATGAAATGGACTGTAATTGAAGGGACTCAAAAAAATGGACTAGAAAAGAATGGACTCGAATGGAATTGAACACAATGGAATGGAATGGAATGGCATAAAATGGAATATACTCGAATGTATAGGAGTGGAATTGAATGGAATAAAATGGAATGTACTTGAATGTATAGGAGTGGAATGTAATGGATGTGAATGGAATCAACCCGAATGGAAAGCTATCGAATCCAATGGAATGGACTGGAATGGAAAGCAAAGGAATTGATTGGACTCGAATGGAATGGACTGGAATGATATAGACTCAAAAGTTTTTACTCGAAAGGAATGGAATCAAAAGGAATGGAATCCAATGGAATGGAAACTTATGTAAGGTATTCGAATCGAATGAAATGGAATCGAATTGAAGGGGTACGAATGGAATGGAATGGAATGGAATGGAATCGAATTTAATGGAATTGAATAGGAAAGAATCAAATGGAATGGAATCAACCCGAGTGGAATGGAATGGAATGGAAAGGAATGGAATGGAATGGAATGGAATGGAATGGAATGGAATGGAATGGAATGGAATGGAATGGAATGGAATGGACTCCAGTGGAAAAGACTGGAATGGAACGGTTTCGAATGAAATTGAATCGAATGAAATGGAATGGAATGCAATGGAATCAAATGGAATGGACTTGAATGGAATGGAATGGAATGGAATGGAATGGAATGGAAAGGAACAGAATCAAATTGAATCGAATGGAATGGAAGGGAATGGAATTGAATCACATGGAATTGAACGGAATCAAATGGAATATCATCAAATGGAATGAAAAGGAAAGTAATGGAATGGAATAGAAAGGAATGAAATCCAATGCAATGGCATGAAATGGAATGGAATCAAATGGAAAGGGAAAGAATGGAATGAAATGGAATGGAATGGAATGGAAAGGAAAGGAATCATATGGATTAGATTCGAAAGGAATTGAAAGGAATGGAATGGAATGGAATGGAATGGAATCGAATGGATGGAAATTGAATGGAATGGCTTCAAATGGAATGGGAAAAAATGGAATTGGAAAAAATGGAATGGAACGGAATGGAATGGAATGCTATGGAATGGACTCGAATGTAAAGGACTGGAAAGGAATGGACTCGAATTGTAAAGACACAAATGGAATGGAAACTATTGGAGTGGAATCAAAAAGACTGGAATCGAATGGAAAGGGATTGAATGGAATTGAATGGAATGGAAAGGATTGGAATAGAATGGAATGGAAAGGAATGGAATGGAATGGAATGGAATGGAATGGAATGGAATGGAATGAAATGGAATGGAATGGAATGGAATGGAATGGAATGGAATGGAATAGAATGGAATGTGCTCGAATAAAAAGACTAGAATGCAATGGACTTGAATGGAATGGACTCGAATGGAAAAGATTTAAAAGGAATTAACACAAATGGAATGGATTCAAACGAAATGTCTCGAAAGGAATGCTATCGTGTGGAATGGAATCAAATAGGATGGAATTC
>NC_000020.11:31157036-31159119 GCF_000001405.40 Homo sapiens
TGAAATGGAATGGAATGGAAGGGAATGGAATGAACCGCAGTGGAAAGGAATTGAATGGAATGCAATGCAATGGAATGGAAGGGAATGGAATCACCCCGAGTGGAATGGAACGGAACGGAATGGAACAGAATGGAATGGAATGGAATGGAATGGAATGGATGGAATGGAATCAAATCGAGTGGAATGGAATGGAATATAATGGAATGGAACGGAATGGAATGGAATCAATCCGAGTGGAATGGAATGGAATGGAATGGACTGGAATGGAATGGATGGAATGGAATCAACACGAGTGGAATGTAATGTAATGGAATGGAAGGGAATGGAATTTAATGCAATAAACCCGAATGTAACCAAATGGAATGGAATGGAATGGAATGGAATGGAATGGAATGGAATGGAATGGAATGGAATGGAATCAACCCGAGTGGAATGTGATGTAACGTAATGTAGTGGAATGCAATGGAATGGAATGGAATGGAATGGAATGGAATTGAATGGAATGGAATGGAATCAACCCGAGTGGAATGGAATGGAGTGCAGTGGAATGGATTGGAAAGGATTGGAATGGATTCGAATATAATGGAATGGAATGCAATCAAACCGAGTGGAATGATATGGAATGGAATGGAATGGAGTGGAATGGAATGGAATGGAATGGATTTAACCCGAGTGGAATTGAATGGAATGGATTGGAATGCAATGCAATGGAATGGAATGGAATGGATTCAACTCGAGTGGAATGGAATGGAATGCAATGGAATGGATTGGAATGGAATCAACCCGAGGGGAATGGAATGGAATGGAATGGAATGGAATGGAATGGAATGGAATCAACCCGAGTGGAATGCAATGGAATGGAATGCAGTGGAATGGAATGCACTGGAATGGAATGCAGTGGAATGGAATCAATGGGATTGGAATGGAATGAAATGGAATCTAACCGAATGGAATGATATGGAACAGAATGAAATGGAATCGAATGGATCGGAATGGAATGGAATTAACGCGAGTGGAATGCAATGGAACGGAATGGAATGCAATGGAATGGAATGGAATGGAATCAACCCGAGTGGAATAGAATGGAACGGAATACAATGGAATGGCATGGAATGGAATGGAATGGAATAAACCCAAATGGAATGTAATGCAATGGAATGGAATGGAATGGAATGGAATGGAATGGAATGGAATGGAATGCAATAGAATCAACCTGAGTGGAATGGAATGGAATGGAATGGAATGGAATGGAATGGAATGGAATGGAATGGAATGGAATGGTGGGATGGAATGGAATCACCCCGAGTGGAATGTAATGGAATGGAATGGAATAGAATGCAATGGGATGTAATGAATCCGAGTGGAATGGAATGGAATGGAATGGAATGGAATGGAATGGAATGGAATGGAATGGAATGGAGTCAACCCAATTGGAACGGAATTGAATGGAATGAAATCGAATGGTATGGAATGGAATGAAATGGATTCAACCCGAGTGTCATGGAATGAAATGCAATGGAATGGAATGGAATGGAATGGAATGGAATGGAATGGACTGGACTGGAATGGAATGGAAAGTAATGCAAAGGAACGGAATCATGCCGAGAGGAATGCAAAGGAATGGAATGGAATGGAATGGAATGGAATGGAATGGAATGGAATCCACCCCAGTCGAATGGAATGGAATGTAATGGAATGGTTTGGAATGGAATGGAATGGAATGGAATAGAATGGAAAGAACCAGAGTGGTATGCAGTGGAATGGAATGGAATGGAAAGGCATGGATGGAATGGAATCAACCCGAGTGGAATGTAATGTAATGTAACGGAATGGAATGGAATGGAAGGGAAGGGAATCAACCCTAGTGGAACGGAATGGAATGAAATGGAATGGAGTGGAATGGATTGGAATGGAATGGAATGGAATGGAATGGTATCAACCCTAGTGAAATGAAATGGAATAGAATGAAATGGAATGGAATGGATTGGAAAGGAATCAACCCATATGGAATGGAATGGAATGGAATGGAATGGAATGGAATGGAATGGAATGGAATGGAAAAGAATGGAGTGGAATCAACCCG